>NC_000010.11:54234004-54385519 GCF_000001405.40 Homo sapiens | reverse complement strand
AAAAAAATGACAGAATTTAGTCTTAATACTTGCCCACTTTTACATGAAAAAAGCAAACTGCTTGAGCACGTATGGTTATTAAATATGTCCTCCAATTAATTGTTTCCAGAAGCAAATTACCTATAGAAACAAAACATTTTTCTGTAACATAGTTCTAATTCACATTTAGTATTGTCATAACATCCATCTGTTTTATTATTTTCAATAACATATTAAATAATTTTGCCTTATTGTTTACAGAATTGTTAATCTGAATGATTTTATAGGTGAGAAAACAGATTTAACTGTAGGGTTATGACAACTCAGAATTCTCCTAGAGGTACTAAAAAACCACATTTTCTATTGTACAAATTTATCTATGGAATAAAAGGTTTTAAATATCTTATATTAAAAATTAAATCTGAAATCAGAGGAGAAATGGAGGAGGATTATGATGTGACCTTTCTCTCTGCCTGGAATATACACTTGGATTTGGATCAACCAGAAACTCAAAAAATGAAATAAATGGAGTTGTTGAAATATGTTCATTGATTCACTACTACCAGTTAATTCCACATCCATTTCTTAAACATATTGTCTTATATAATTGTTTGTTGTCCTACAGTCAATTAGGTGTTTTTGTTTATTTTTTGAATATGTGGGTTGTCTTTTCATGGAATATTGCTTGAGTTTTAACTAATATTAAATATGTGTAAATGACACAGATAAAATCAAAATCGTATTTGACCATAAATATAACGTAAATATTTTCATTCCTGCTATAACCGTAGGAAGACTGAAAAACTAAGGGAAAAAACTTTAATTTGTTCTGTGATTAAAGTTCTATTAACTCATAAGCTTAACAAACTTACTTCCCCTATCCAAAGTACTATATATGCAATCTTTAATAATTAAACTACTGTGATGTTGATAAATTTAATACAAACTCTTCAAACATCTAGAAGGGTAGGCAAGCATACCCAAGAGGATTTTTTTCTTAAGACACTTAATCAATTCTTTCAATCTAATAAATCACACTTACAAATTTACTGAATCGAATCATTTAAAACTTTGAAATAGTGTTTAAAATCGCAGTCAAAAAGTTTATATTTTAAATCACATATCTAACAACAACAACAACTTTCTACAGTTGCATTTTCACTAAAAAAAGGAATTTCACAAGTTGAAATGAAGTTTTAGTTAAAAAAAAAAAAGGGGGGGGATCTTCAGCTTGGTAGAGATTTAATTGTTTGGTTAGGGAATGGAAGAAAAACCCAAAATTTGAGGTTTATAATTGATTCTAATGGAGACACAGGTTAAGAGGTTGAGCTTTTTCATCAAGCAGGGCTTTTTTGGCTTTTATCTTTTCAAATCAATCTTTCACATACATTTTAAAACCATATTTTTGGCTGGATGCAGTAGCTCACGCCTGTAATCCCAGCACGTTGGGAGGCCGAGGCGGATGGATCACCTGAAGTCAGAAGTTTAAGACCAGCCTGGCCAACATGGCGGAACCCCATCTCCACTAAAAAAAAAAAAAAAAAAAAAAAAAAAATTAACTGTTTGTGGTGGCAGGTGCCTGTAATCCCAGCTATTATGGAGGCTGAGTCACGAGAATCGCTTGAGCCCAGGAAACAGAGGTTGCAGTGAGCCGAGATTGCGCCACTGCACTCCAGCCTGGGCAACAGAGCAAGACTCTCTCAAAAATAAAATAAAATAAAATAACCAATATTTGTTTCTTTGATTTCAACCCCTGGGACATATTTTTCTAATGAACAGAACTGCCTGATTAGATTCTATACTCTTCTTTTTTTTTTTGGTTGAGGAGAGTGGGGTATGAAGATTGTTTTTTACCCACTTTAATCATTATGTTGAAACACACACACACACACACACACACACACACACACAAAAACACACATACACGGCATGGTATGCTTGTACTTTTAATTTTAACTGCAGCAATTTGATGGCCTGAAAATAATAAAATATTGCAATATTCTGAGGGTATAAACCTTTCCCATTTACACCAGTCTGATAATTAAATATGGTAATTCCCTGAACGTCTTTCTATTTTATCTCTTAGTCCAGTTAATACAGTCAGCAAATGCTAATAAGTACTAATAAGCATTTTTGATCTTAGTAGTATGACTTTTTTTGCTTATTATCTTGTTCATTTTTGCTTTTGCCAGCAAGAAATGGCCTTTTATTTCATGAAAAGTTATCAACGGTTACTGTGAATAAACTGTTGCCTTCTTTTTGTTTTATATTTTACATATGCATACATAGTCTTTTTTTTTTCTTGCTGGTATTTAAGTATGTTCTGTGCTTCTCTTATTTCAGTTGTACAGAAAGTACATTTTACATTTAAAATCATTTTGTTGATAATGTTCCCAATTTAATGAAAAATAATATATAACTCCTTTATATGCTCAAATCTATATAAATTGCTAGTAGCTGTAGGATGAAAAATGTTATTCATTGGGTAGTTGCGTGCCTCCACTTACATTCATTTTTATTGTTTTCTCATAGAACTCTATATTGCTGATTGTAAAAATCTTGGGAACTTGCTTAAGCTCACAGTTAGTTAATAGTGTGCGGCCAAGATTCTGAACATAGATCTTTTGACATTAAATCCTGTGTAAATTACCTGTTATTGTATAACAATATCATTAAAATTAGGTAATTTAAAACAACACACATTTATTATTTGATAGTTTCTTTGAGTCAGGAGTCCAGACACAGCATAGCCAGGTACTCTGCTTAAGGTTTCACAAGAGTATAATCAAGGAATTGTCAGGGCTACCATTTCATCTGAAACATGGTTAGGGAAGCATTTGCTTCCAAGTTCAATCAGGTTGTTATGTATTCCTTATGGACTCAGAACACAACACAGTTTGTGTTCTCATGTTATACAGACACATAGACACATGTATACAACATAGAATCTCATGTTATGTAACCACATAATCATATACATGGGAAATAGAAACATAGACTTTTCTTTGGGGTAGAAGCATGTCACAGGTTTTTTGGACCATACTTAATGCCCACTATCCTCTTGTATGGGTGGCAAGCTCTAATGTCACAATTAAAAAGAAAGGGCTAGCTATGTGAGAAGATCTTAAGAAAAAATGGAAAATCTATTGAAGAACATTTATTCTGTACAAATAGAGTCTATATTAGCAGTTACATGAACTCCTGTAATTTAATATGTTAATCTCTCTTGAGAATCAGGAAGTACATAAAAAGAAGCTGCAAAGTTATTTTTCTGAATTAATAGGCTAATAAAGAGGCTAAATGAAAGAGGAAGTTTTCCATTTTTATAAAAAACGTCCCTAGAGGTAAATGGCCCTCAATACCTACTTCTTAAAGGATGAAGCACAAATCCCAGTATTTAAGGCTGTAAAAGATTGACCAGCCAAGAAATGTGTTGAAAATGTCAATAAATATTTAACTGTGCTAATATTTTTAACACGATTGTGATTGTTTTGATTTTTATTATTCTAAATACAAGAGAACAAGTCTTTTTCAGGAACATACATATAGTATTATAGTAGAAATGCCTTTTCTCTTATAGTACTGATTTTGTAGGGAGAAAAATCGAGGGTAAATGCGGTTATCCACTTTCACATAGTTGGTAAGTGGTGGATTATGGATTGGATTCTAAGCCTATCCATTCCAGGGCCAGCTCTCTTAACTTCTATTATATGAGTATCAAACTAAATTTAATTCCATTTTCTGAACTGCCACCATTTTTATTATGATGAAAGGAAAATTTCATGTAAGGTGAATCCCATCTTGGGTATTACCTATTCTGCAAGACAGGCCTACTCAGGATTATTCCTGTTGATCCCTTTATTATAATTAAATATGTCTCGTTACCACTATTAAACATTGCTTGTTCTAGCTGACATTAATAGAGCCATCCAGTTTTCTTATTTAGTGTTGTGTCGTGCCTCCCATCTTTTTATTTTTAACTTATCTGTAATATTTAAAATGAAGTCAAAGAAGAGAATACATTTAAACATCAAATGAAACACATTAAGCAAAAGGTTTATTGGCAAAAAGGGAAGCTTGCAAAGTAACGAAGGAGGAAAGAGAGCACATTATCCCAATACACCCAGAGTATTCTGGTGTTTAGCTGCTTGCCAATATTGTCTAGAACACTAGCTTTTCAGATCTTGAAAACTTAGGATGTGTGGAAAGATACAGTCACCACTGCTGGGATAGGGAGAGACAGGAGTTTCTGGCTTAATGCTAACTATAGCTTGGGTGTCACGTATTCTTCTAAGGAGAGGGGTATGGGCACAGTTGTTCAGGCAATTCAGAGTGAACACTTAGGTTAATTTTTAAAAAATATGTATATTGCTCCTTGTATCATGTCTGCCTAAGCTTTGCTCTCTTCTCTCTCTCTCCCCTAAATTTTGGCTTAAAGCAAGCTTGTATATGAAAATTTGAGAGGCTTTTTTTTTTCTTTTTGGCAATACAAATGGACAATTCTAAAGGGGAAAGCAGGCAAGCAAACAAAACTCTTTCAACACACCAGCAGTAGAAAGATTTTTTGTTGAGTTTCAATCATTGAACTCAGGAGTGAGCTGAGAGCAAGAAAACTATAGATCTTTTCCATGAAAGTTAGAATCTTTAAATAAAATATAAATCCAGATACAGTGTTTTTGTTTCACTACTTTAATATTAGTTACTATTAAAACTTTATCTGGTTATAAACTATTTGCTTTGTAAAGATAGTTCAATGGCTCCTTCCCTTAGTGTATCTGCTCGCAGCTTGGAGCATATATATATATATATATATATATATATATATATATATATATGGAGCATATATATATGGAGCATATATATATGGAGCATATATATATATATATATATATATATACATGCATACACACAATCAGAAGATTTGCAGTTGCTACTCTTAAACACTATTGAGTCAAGGTATTAATGTTAATGTTAGTTGACCTGCCTATTGTACATAAGTTTTCTTGATGAGAAAATAAATTCCCTTTCAATTTCTCAATTATATATTGAAATACAGATCAAATATCTTTTCATGGTGAGTTGTGTGAAGTATTTGTAAATTAGTATGTACTGGGGCCTTGAATATATATACATTCTTGAACATATTTATAGGCAATAAAATGCCATCAATATCTGATCTATACTTTGGAGTGTATTGTATGTAGGTTGTGTATTTGCCATTTCAGTCAAAAATAAAAATACTCATTCCACTCAATATTCATGTAATTATGTCCTAGTATGTGAAAAAGTGCAAAAAATGTGCCATTTACAAAAGTATGTGTATGTGAGACAACATTTGTGTTTAAACATTATTCTGGCTTGTTACAAAAGATTCATGGTTCTTTCCAGCATTTCTTAGGCGGATAAAGACTGGTAGTAGTAGTATGATAAAGAAATATTATAGATAATTATAGTTATTATTAAATTACTGAGAAAATATTTTAAAGAGCCTTCCACTTTTCTTGTAATTATGCAACGGTATAACATTTAGGCCAATTTCATGCCTTAAGAAAATGCAACAGATACTTTTTTCGTTATATTTTTCAAGCCAGATTCGTATTTATGGATTCTCTGTATATTCTTGAGTGCTGTCCTAAGGCGATGTGTTCTCTCGATAGTTGCCATTTATTCTAGTGTTTTTTTGGAGGCTACATTTTACTTGCATAGCCACATCTCTTCTATATCTATAAGTTTAATAAAATGGATCGGTTGAAAATGATTGCTCTAAGCCATGGTACATTATTATTTGGCAAAGAGATCATTGCTGCGTGAGGGAAAAATGGTATTTGAGTTGCATCAGTGCTGTTTGCATTCGACATGTAAAATGCATGGGATCTTTAACACAGTAGAAAGGGTTAGAGACATAATCTTTTCAAGTTTTATTCAAAAACTGTCTACAATTCAGCTTGCTGAAAAAAAATAATAAGAAAGCAATCACTGAAATGTTACACTGGCCTAGTGCGTTGTTCTAGTAGAGTAACCCAGACATGTCTTAAAGAAGAATGGCTTCTATTCCATTTCTGCACACTAGTTTTGTCTTTCATGTCAAGATGTATGTTTTATGTATTTGCTCTAAGATAAAAAGAAGCAGTTCTCACCATGGGAGGCTCAGCTACTTTTTAAAAATCTATTTCCTCTTCCTTTCTTAGTTTCACAATATCTTTTTTTCACATCAGAGGTCTAACAGAATTAATTGAGACATCAGACTCTGCTATTACAGGCATTTCCTTTTGTTCAGGATAAAATTCAGTGATAACTCCTGTGAGAAGTGATAGATGGGGGGAAACAGATTTATGTTGTTAGAGGGAAACACAAAATGGATGATGGAACTCACCATGTCTGTATCTCTGCCTTCCACCAAAAATATTATTTATAAATAATATAATGCAGATACTTTGGCCTTTTGGTAAAGAATATTTTCTGTCTTATGCTAGATATACAGTTGAGTATTTTCAGCTTTAAAACTGATTGTGAGCCAGCCGCGGTTTAAGAGCATGATCTTTGCTAAAGAATTCATATGAGTAGAATATGTTTTCAAGTACCTTTCTTTGGTTTGCAGGTACAATTCTGGTGGACAACATGCTGATCAAAGGGACTGCTGGAGGACCAGACCCCACCATAGAACTTTCTTTAAAGGATAATGTGGATTACTGGGTGTTGATGGATCCTGTTAAGCAAATGCTTTTCCTGAACAGCACCGGAAGAGTTCTGGATAGAGATGTTAGTGATTTTTTTTCTTTGCCCCTGTAATATAAGTTTATTATAATTTAAATGTCTATGTGTGTGTTTATATGATATTGAATTATTTACATAATTTGAGTTTATTTCCTGAGTATAGCAACAACAGTTTCTTTAACTCATTTAAAGAAGAATGAGAAAGGAAGGGAACATCTGTGTCCTGGAGAACCGTTAGACTTCCCCTTTAATATCCTGGAAGCTTGTCAATTTCTGAACAAGAAGAAAATATAGTGCTTAGAAAAAAGAGGTGGTACCCTTGGCAAAGTAGGACAAGCATGGCTATAACTCATTTCTGTCCAACAATGGCAACATGTAAGTGTGTCACTCAGCTGCCGGCTTGAAGATGTAGTTTGGTGGGTGCACTCACAGGAGCCTGCTTTTACAACTAGTAAGCATTGGTTGAAGGGCAAAACTGTGGAAATGTCTTACATAGTTGCAAAAAAGAAAAAAAAAATGAGAAAAAGTTTCATGGTAATATGCCAGTCAAGTAGTTCTCAGATAGCATAAATTTTTTTTTATTAAGAATATCTATATTGGGCTTGGCACAGCAGTAGCTCATACCTGTAATCCCAGCACTTTGGGAGGCCCAGTGGGGAGAACTGCTTGAGCCCAGGAGTTTGAGTCCAGCCTGGCAAATAGAGTAAGACTCTGTCTTGACAAAAAATTTGAAAAACTAGGCAGGCATGGTAACACGTGCCTGTAGTCCCACTAATCTGCAGACTGTGGTGGGAGGATCCCTTGAGCTTGGGGTTGGGGAGTGGAGGCTGCAGTGAACTATGATCACACCAATGCACTCCAGCCAGGACAGCAGAGCGAGACACTACCTCAAAAAAAAATTGCTAAATTACCAACGTAGTTGGATGTTTCATTTCTGGAAAAATTAAAAAAAAATTAATAGGTATAAGTAGCTCTCTAAAGTAACTTTGTACTCACTTATTTGCATCTCAGTCTTTCTTGAGTACAGAGGGGCAGAGGGTAGTGGATTATAATCAGTAATTGCACTGGGCCCTGGGAAAACTCAGAGAGTAACTCTAAACATGCTTACCCACAAGTTCCCAGCTTATGAAATCCAAATGTCAGATACTCAGCTTAGTGAACCTGAATCATTTCACATCATTGCTCAGGGTTTATGATCCACTTTACAATAGGTTATGGAGTGGTTGATACTTTATACTATTTCATGTCTAAAATTTGGAGTCTTTAATAAATCTCAATTTGCCTCTTATTTTACTACAGTTTACTATGTGCTTTATTACTTATGAATTCTTTGAATTCTTGTGAATTATGTTTTCCTGCTGCCACAGTGCTTTTAGGGGTTCATTCATCAAAGCATAAGGGCTTTTATTCTGAATATCCTTAACCTAGTGCCCATCTGTTTTATGTGTCCTATAGACCATTACTGCTAGACAAATAGTGAGGTAAATCTGGGCTTTTAGTCCAAATCTAATCACTACTGGAAATTACAGTCTCATTTAATTGTAAAATAATATATGCTTATGGTAAACATATCAGAAAATAAGAAGCATATATATGAAGATAATTTTATCAGTTAGGGAAAATAACATTTAATGTTTATTCTGCCACATTTTATTTCAAGCATTTATGTGTGTTGATATGTATATTTATAATACTTATTAATTTAAATTGGATTATGCTGTTCATTTTGCTGTCGGCCTACTTTTTACATAAAATTTATAATACATGTAAAATTATAATGCAAACAAATGTATATTTATATAATTATTTTTATTAGCTGCATGATTGGTTATTGCATGAATAAATAAGAGATTTTTAAAAAATGAATCTCCTATTTTGGAAGTCAAGTTTGTTTGCAGTTTTTAAGAATTACAAAAATGCTGCAGTGAAAATTTTTGTACATGCATCTTTCTACAATTGTTTAGTTGTTTTATAGAGATAAATTCATTTACCATCATTATATTACTGGACTAGGGAGTTTTATCCATTTTACTAAATGGTCCTCTCGATATATTGTCCCTATATGCTTCCATACCAATATTGCTAAATAATTGTAATGTCTGAAATAAAATAATAATATTATGTAAATATTTGAAATAATCTTAGTTTACTTGGAGAGGTGTTGTATGTTTTTACTTTATTGTTTTAACATTATTTACATTGATATAGAATAAGATATTTTTTCTTCTGTATGCTTCTCTATGATCCTAGTTAATATTTTCTACAAAGATATAGTAGAGAATTCATTTTAAAAAAAGTGAGTGCACACTTTTTATATAGATTGTATTTGAAAATATGCTCTCCAGTATTAATGAAATATATATTAATACTATGATATTCATATATGTAAATATATATACCTTTATTTACACTGTTTTAAATTTTATTTAATGTAAAATGTTTTTTCCCAAAAGCTAAATATAGATAAAATATACATTATTATTAAATAACTATATTATTATGATAAATACCAAAATATTTGTAGTTTCTTTTAAAATATAGGGCATTTACCTAAAATGTAATTCTTTTGATTGTTGCCCAAAGTTTTTTGGTTGTTCTTTTATGAATATAATGAATCAAAATAAAAAATATGGGCTGGGTGTGATGGCTCATGCCTGTAATCCCAGCACTTTGGGAGGCCAAGGCCAGTTAATCACTTGAGGTCAGGAGTTCAAGACCAGCCTGGCCAACACGGTGAAAACCCGTCTGTACTAAAGTCCAAAACTTATCCAGGCATTGTGGCAGGTACCCTGTAATCCCAGCTACTGTAGAGGCTGAGGCAGAAGAATCACTTGATCCCAGGAGGCGGAGGTTGCAGTGAACCAAGATCACACCACTGCACTCCAGCCTGTGTGACAGAGTGTGACTCCGTCTCAAAAAGAAAAAAAATTATATATATATATATATTCCGTTTCAAAAATATATTTTTATTTATATATTATATATATATATTCCATTTCAAAAATATATTTTTATTTATATATTATATATATATATTCCATTTCAAATATATATATATATGCTCTGAATATCAAAATAGAACCAACAATTTGAGTTTGATCCTACTAACAATGGCGAAAGCTTTGTATTATAATCACTAGCCTATAATTAACTTTAACCCTTCTTAGTGGTAAATTGCTCTTGAAATTATTTTTATAGAAAATTTTCCACTGAATTTTTGTTATGAAATTATGCTTTTCTAAGAATATTCTGATTTTAATCAAAGTTATTTGGCTTATAAGGAAGACACAACAATGCCTTCAAATGATTTCCAGCTGATGGGAGAGAATATTAACAATACCAATAGCATAGATATAAAAAATAATTTACTTTTATGGAAATTGTATGTTTACCAGGGAGAGAGGAAAACTACTTGGTCTTGGACCATATGGTCTCTAGTTTCTGCCTTTCTCTGTGCATATTCTCTATTTTTCTCTCTGCAGAGCAGATTCCTTTATACACTTATAATTTTACTCCACTTCCTTGTTTTTCATTTGACTTTAAGTGTTTTCTGTGTTCATGCCATGCCAGTTCTTCATAAACTTTTGATGCAGTGGCCATTAAAGAAGGCTTAAAGTCACTGTGTTTTGTTTTGTTTTAAAATTTCTGAGAGAAATAACAATTAAATACTCACTGGTTTGAATCTATAGCCAGGGAGCAAGGAGTAGGGCCACATGGTAGATCCATATCCAATTATACCATCTTTTTAGCAACAGTTAGAGAAAAATTTATTTTCCAGAGAAAGTGATGCAAATCATGTTTTCTACATTTTCTCATTGAGGCAATAAACTGTCTCTTAATGGGGACGTTTGAATAATTATGGCTGTAATAGAATTAAAAGCAAACAATATAGACAGAAACATTTTTAACAGTGTGTTAAAAATAAGCTGATAAACATGATCTTCATGAAAATTTCCGAGGAAGAATATAAAGAATAAAAATACCCAACGCTCAGATATTTGTATTTAATTAGAAAGCATTTACATGAGATTGTATGACTATGAACTGTTTTATAATTTTAAAACTTGGTTTATAAGATTTTCCCTTATGGTCATCATTTATTTTTATGTCTTATTTTTATTTTTTTGTTCACTAAAGTTACATAAATTTTCAGCACCCAAAAATTAAAAAAAGAAAGGAAGAGTTACAAAATTAAAAGTCACAAAAGAGAAACAACCAGAATGTGATATTTGGGGTGAACATGAAGAGTCTCAGTAATAAAGGCACATCACATAAAAATTTTGAAATGCTAAATGATTGTCTCACATGGCCAAAATGCTCTCATCACTATTGGGCATGTGATAATAATGGTCATGACAATATCAATAATTAAAATAATAACAGAAAGAAAAGTATGACTCTGGTACAGTCCTATAATACTTATCTCAAAATCCTGGGCAAAATTTTAAAAGCTTTTGAAACGAGAGAAATTATGTTCATAACAACATCAAATATCTTAGCTTCTTTTCTTTCAGACTCTAACTTGGTAGCTGCAAAAGGGGCTTGACTCCCCTGCCCAGGCCAGTGTCCATTCAACTGCTAAGTTTAGTAGTTTTATCTCCACCTTGTATCTTGCATCTCCATCAGTCAACATAACTTTAGTATAAGACCTCTTAGTCATCACTCATATAAACTAATTGTTGTCTACCACCTGTCTTGATTCAACCTATTCTACAACCAGAGTGCTGAAACAGAGACTGTGCCCACAGATACCTTTTCATTGCAAACTGTTTTCTATCTGTCTCTTGAGTTTTGCTAGATTCAAGATGCACCCTGTCTATATAATTTTCTTTTTATTTAGAAATGTATGAACTACAAACTAAGAAAACTAATGTAATTATTGTCCCATGACCATATCCAATTTTTTCTTACCATACCTTCCCTGATGTTCTTTTGAACATAAACTTTGAAATCACTGTTATCCAGTGCTATCAGTTGAATTTTATGTGCTACTAAGAGATATCTTAAATGCTGCTTCTGTATAAATTATTTTCTAATAACACTGGTATGCAATTCCTTGTTCTAAAATCCATATTATTTAATAGTATTTTTGACTGACTTTATTTATGATCACCTCATATCAGTTTTATAAAAGTTGCTATTAGTATCCAAGGACTAAGTCATATTAATCCTAACCCACATTAAACTTTTCATATAACAAATACCTACCATTAAATAGACTGAATGTCCTTAATAATTCACTGTGAAAAATCTATAGATGTATCTACATGTCACATATGCATAATTGTATTTACAAATTGATATTTTCTTTTTAGGTAATATCTTCAGTAAATATGCTACTATTCATTGTGAAAATTTAATTTGTGAAGGACACTGACAACTCTGGCCAGCCATTTCCTTTAAGTTTGCTTTTTTATGTAAAAGTCGTTTCTAAAACACACAGTGTCTTATTTCCTTTCACTGTCTTCCACATTACTTGTGAAATAGGAATGATTATGTTATAAAGGTGGTAAGTCCATAGACAGAAATATCATGACAAAAAAAATTCACTCCTGAGAATTAGACAAACTTTGCCTATACTTTATGAAAAATAAATTCCTACAGATTTGCCAAAAATGCATTCCCTGCCCCCCAAATCATTGACTTCCAAATCATTTGGTTTCTAGAAAAAAAATATATTGGATTGAAGATTTGTGCTATAATCTAAACTGCTAATATCAACAAATCCCCTATAAAAACTTTAATTTTCATGTTGAATCCTAAATGATTGAGAAATTCATAACAAAAATTTCTATTTTATATTTTTTTCTTTTTCAGAGTTACAAAATTTTTACATTTTTGTGGGAAAATTTTTTCTCTTCATACTCTCAAACCCACTTTTTAATGATAGTATCCTTTAATTGTTGATATATATCATTCCTGATACACATATCATAACCTATACACAGGTACACTAATACACAAATGTGCAAGTATACGTTCAGAGTATTGTGTTAAGCACTCATTTTTAAATTGAAAGAATAGCTTGCATGTTTAGGTATATATGAATGGTAATAGTTTTAAATAGTTATATGAACACAATTTCTACCTAGCTTTTTTTTCTTCTTTGTTTGATGAATAAAGCAATTAAAGAAAATTAGAAAAGGTCAAATTACCATGGCTTATTTTTGCCACCAGTTATGAAAGATAAAGCAAAATTTCCCTAATGCATTCTTAAGCATCTTAGAGTCCCTAAACTCTCACTAATGGACTTATTAGAACTGTACTTTTATGTATGACCTTCTTATACAGCAGAATTGAATCTATGCCAATACAAAATTACATTGTGTGTTATATATTAGCCACAGGGAATTTTTGCCTTCGGTGTGATCCATTATGGTTATAATTTATTGCCCTCTAAGTTCTAGCCATGCCACTAACAGTTGCATAGGGAGCTAAAGTTGAGAGTGATAACTGTTCCAGGTGACCTGGTTAGATCTAATTTATGGGTACTTAGCAGGACTAAGTGAGGCCTCAGTACACAGTGCATTTGATCCTCTATTTGATAAGATTTTGACCTTTTGGTCCCAGTGGTACCACTCCAAGTAGAATTAGAAGTTGAGATAGAATGTTTTTATAGGTCTCTCTTGCAATAATTGGAAGATAAATAACTTTAAAAGTGCATAATTCACCTCATTGTCTTCCAAGAGGTGTGCCAAGGACAAACAGTACACATATTTATTTTGTTTTTAATTTACAATTAAAATATGCTGGACATGCCTTAAAAGGTCTATTACACACTTGAAAGCTGGTAGTAAAAATGGAGGTCATCTAATTCAAATTCTTTCCAGGAAACTTCTAAGAGCTAGTCTTTTTCAATGGTCTTTTATCCTCAAACTGGCATATTTCAGTGATGGGTCTTGTTTTATAGAATAGTCTGTTCTATTCCATGTCACTTTTTCCTCCTGATTTTTCTTTATTTTATACAAAGACAAATGTGAAAAAAAGAAATTGAAGCATCACAAATATTTTAGCTCATAATGGCAGAGGAAAAGTATTTGGAAGTGCGAAGGCATAAATTTATTTCTAACATAAACTATACTCTTCTACTGATAAGAATCTCTGCTCTATTTGTTATTTTTTAAAAACTTTTATGGGTATATAGTAGGTGCATATGAGTTACATGAGATACTTTGATAGAGGCACATAATTATTTGGTGCAAATTTGGATTAAGAGAAGCCCTCTACTTATGGTGAAAACATGCTTTGAAATATTTTTCAACTATTTTTCTTATTTCTGCTCTCTGAAACTACAGTAAGTCAACTAATGGATGTTTCCATGACAACCATTTAGATATTTGACAAATCATATGTTGTTAAATTTAAAATCCTCCCATTTTATACATTCTCAAAAGTGTTCAAATTTCTCTTCTATGCACCTGTAAAATGGTACCTGTTATAATCTACCTATATATTATTATCTGATATTATTAATTAATGTACAGTATGCATTAGTGTTCCAGTAGCCCATTTACAGTGCTGTCATGTAAAATCAGCTTTTAGCTATCAAAATTTCACAATTACATTTTTACATTAATGTTTGTAGCTGTCTATTACATTTGGGTGATTTTTTTTCTATTACAAATTGGAGGATAAAATTTATTATTGCAAAAATTTACCATTTTGTAACCCATTATTATGACTTATTAAGATGACTTTGAACCATGTCTTTTGTCATTAAATGTATTTATACATCCTTCCAAGGTTTGTAACATTCACAGATTTTATACACATGATTTTAATGCCTTCATTTATATCAGTGATTAAAGGAGAAATAGAGTAGATATAAAAACACAGAGCTATGTGTGATTTCACTAGAGACCTCTTTTCGTATGTCAATGATGCCTCAATTTATTCTTTCTAGGTAGCATCATTCAGACAGCTACAAATTCAAGTCAACTTTCTTTTTCTTTGTTGGCCATAAAAATATCTTGAAACTAAATAATGATTTCCTTCAGCTTAGATATAGTTTCTGTAGCATTTTTCTCATTTACAAATGTGTCGTGCATTATAGATTTTATTTTTTCACTATTTTGGATATTTATTTTTTAATAAATAAAATAGGATATGTATGTAATCCCTTAGGTGTTTAACATATGCCTAGTATAGTCTAATCACATGCAGTATTTACAATTCTCATTGGTGTAACTATTAGCCTTAATTTTATAGATGAATAAACGAAGCATAGAGATACTTTGTACTTTTTCCTGGATCATACAGTTAGTAGGTTATGGAACTGGAAGCCATGCAGTTTGACTCCAGATCATCTGTCTTAGGCATAGGGCTGGTTACTGGAAAGAGGGATACTATCATGACTAAAATAACACACAGGTTGTATTGAGCTTCCAGTCTAGTGAAGGCAGACAAACCAAAACAAGTACATAAAATATACAACGAGCCAAATTTTCGGTGAGAAATGCAATAAAGAAAAATAAATTGGAAGAAATTTGAAAGGAGATGTCAGGTTGGAGACAAGGTTTTTAAGATGGAGGGGTCAGGATAGGACACTGCAAAAATGACATATTTAGAGATAAAGTTGCATAAGCTCAAAAGGGGTTAAAAATCACAAAGAAATACTTTGTAGTGGTCAATACTCTGACTCTAGAGTCAAATATTTGTAGGTGTGCATTCCAGCTCTGCAAACTGTTAGCCATGGCACTTGAGGAAGTATATCTTTGACCTTTCCCGTTCAAGGAATTTATTATAAAAATTATTAGATAAGTAAGCATATGCTTATGTATACTATGTATTGAAGTATTTTTTATAATGACAAAATATAATAGCCTGGAGTAGTTCATTTTAAATTATTACTTGGATACATTATGCTATAGGCTTACAATGAAGTATAATATTGCTGTCACATAACATAACTTCATAGTATTATACAAAAAATGCTATAGTAAATCTATATTTATAAACATGGGCTGATATTCACTGTGTGTCTGTGTGTCTATAATATGTACATATTTAGAGAGTGAAAAAGATTAGCAAAATAAGCATTTAAATGTGTAGAATGAGTAAGTTTAGTTGGCTGGCTTTTGGATTTTCTCTTTTGGTAATCAGTATTTTTAATTTGATCAGCAATGAACATATAATATTCCAGCAAAAATATAAATAAACATAAAAGTTAAACAATCTCTCTTCTCCAGGAATTTATTAATTAACACTTTCTTCAAATTAAAAGTTTATATTATTGCTTCTTTAATCTTTGGAGGGGCAAACTTCGTTTAATCCCATCAATTCTAAGCATTAATTTTGTGGGTGCGCTCATTAGCCATCCACTAACTGTGAGCATAATGCTACCTGAATTCCACACGCTGAGATACAAAATTAAACAATAAATTAATTATGATTGTCTTCTCTTGTCCTTAAAATGATCATTTTCTTTGAGATTATTATAATTTAAAAATAAACAAGAATAGAAAAATGTACTGAATGAACGAGTGCTTTGACAGTGATGAGAAGCTTTGTTTTTAATTAGTATTTTAAAAGATGCAATTTCTACATTGCAGCCACCGATGAACATACACTCCATTGTGGTGCAGGTCCAGTGCATCAACAAAAAAGTGGGCACTATTATCTACCATGAAGTGCGAATAGTGGTGAGAGACAGGAATGACAACTCACCCACTTTCAAGCATGAAAGCTACTATGCCACAGTGAATGAGGTCAGTTTCTATTTACTCTCTCTCTGTCCTTTCTGTTGATATATGTATCTAACTATATACAATAAATGTTTATAAATGATTCCTTTAAAATTATGAGCTTAACTGTTTAGAAATATCAAGAAAACATTAAAAAAATAGTACTCAGAAGAAGTATGTGACTTCCGATGTTATTTTAGGAATTCATTTAACTATGGGAAAAATAATGTATTTATAATAATAGATATTTTATTTTTCATCATCTTTGAAAATTTATTGCCTAGATCCATCTACATGCTTACTTAGGCATAACACGAGTTATTATTATTATCCTAAGGCATTTATCTAATACAAATACATTGCCTTTGTATTTCTGAGGTGGTCATACTAATTAAATACTGGAAGAAAATGTCTGCGGTTCTATAAATGTAAAGTTATTTTCTGGATTTTAAAATCAAGTTCTGAAATATCCAAAAATTAACTACAAATCACAACCGAATTCTTATAGAAAAATGCTGATCAAATTAGAAAAATTATATTTAAAAAGTAGTATTGTAACTTTTTAAGGACATGCTTGTTTGTTGTTTTGCTTTGTTTTATTTTCTCTTTTGGCTAAAGTGCATAAGTGAAGAACCACTTTTATTTTTTTTTAAACCGTGGTTACTGTATTAATTATTTTTAGTTAATTAAGCTACAAAATATTTCTAGAGTACCTCTAATGTGACCTATTATGTGTATGTTAGACACATGAAAAAATGAATGACATTAATGTGATAGTACATATTTTACCAGACCATCTTTTCATTTCAAGATTTTTTTTTAATCTTAAAAATTTGCATGCCTGCTTTACAGGAGAATAACTGTAATTTGTGAATTAAACAGATCATTTGGGCCTTTAACCTCTAGATTCTTTTTGAAGTTACTAAAAATATTTTTTAGTTATTTCAACATTCTTGTGTTCATGAAAGTTTGAAGAAATTATGTTCCTTGTAATCTGAGACTTTCTAAATTATATAACTTAAAAACAAAATACAAACTCCTATTTAAATTTAACAAGACGAATTACTGGTCGATAAATGCTTCACCTCTTTGAGTCACTTTTGTTTAATGAGTTTCTACTGTAATGACAGATACTAATTAATTTCCAAGTAACTAGTTTTAATTATATATAAATGATCTTATTTTGAAATACACCCTTTGAGTTACATTTGCTTTGTTCGGTTGAGTGCTAACTTTATTTTTGGTATAAAGTGATAGGTGAATTATCTTAGGCAACAAATCTACTTACAGAATCTATATATATATATGTATATATATACACACATATATACACATATATATATATGTTAGTTCTGGGATACATGTGCAGAATGTGCAGGTTTGTTACATAGGTATACACGTGCCATGGTGGTTTGCTGCACCCATCAACCCATCATCTACATTAGGTATTTCTCCTAATGCTATCCCTCTCCTACCCCCTCACTCCCCCAACAGGCCCCGGTGTGTGATGTTTTCCTCCCTGTGTCCAGGTGTTCTCATTGTTCAACTCCCACTTATGAGTGAGGACATGTGGTGTTTGGTTTTCTGTTCTTGTTAGTTTGCTGAGAATGACGGTTTCCAGCCTCATCCATGTCACTAACTGCCCCTGGATCCCTCTTCATAGTTCATCCTTCTTTCAGAAATTTATAATGTTCAATTTGAAGTTCAAAGCATCCTATGTGATTTGACTGTTTCCACTTCCCTCTCTAATCTTTTCAGTGTCTTGTTAAACAGTAACTTCTCAAATATCATTTTAATCATGCAACTCTACTTTTCAAAAGTTTTGCAATTTCTCATTATTGTCGGGTGTCAAAAGGTCACTTCTTCTGGCAGACCTTCAAGCTTTTCCATAATCTGACCATTTGTCAATGTATTCTGAACATTCTCAAATTCTCCCTGATAATGCCTTATCCTGTTCAGATTAACTCTCTCACATCTCATAAATATCTCCCTTTCTTAGCCTTTGCTCACACTGTTCATTTTGCCTAGAATAAGATCCTCCCTACCATGCAAGTCTCAAAATTTTGTTCATCTCTTTTACTTGATTTATTTTTATGAAATAATCAATATTTACATGTATTGATCTTCAATTTCTTCAAACCCTAAACTCCTAAACATCAGAGTGATAAAATTTATAGGAAAGGTAAAGATTTGATCTTAAACATTATTTTGAGAAGCTATATTACTGTGCAAAGCTGTCAATACATTGTTGAACTGGTAAGTTTCTCACAATGCATTTCCTTTTAGATAACTGAGGTCATCCTATCCCATTGACACTATGGTCATATCTTCTATGGTTTGATAATATCAAATGTGTGTACTTGATGGTCATATTTTTCACCTTTGATTTTGCCCATACTCTTTATATTTACTTTCTTGAAAAAAAAAACAGTGCATTTAAAGCTTGAAATAGCATCAAAAAAAAAATAGAAATTTAGCTATTATTCTCATTTTTCATTTGAATAGTTCTTCCATAGTACTAGTACTTAGTTTAGTCCAATGAATTATAAATTATGAATTATCTATTGGTTTAGTTGACATGAATTTTATCTATTATGAATTATGTATTAGGAAGATACATTAAAATTAGATACATACATACTATATATGTGTATGTGTATAAATAGATATCCCTATCTTGCCCATCTACAATGCTGTGTTTGTAATAAAATTAAATGAAATGAGTTTTATTCTGTGCAAGATTGCAAGGTATTTTTCATACTATTTGTCCTTTTAGTATAAGACATGAAGTTTATGCAATTAAGAAAGATCTAAATGTTTTTCCAAAAAAATCGTTCACAGTTTAATAGATTGTTAATGTCAAAATATTTCACACTTCATTAAAATACAAAAGACAGGTATAATAAAGTCATTATCACAGATTTATAAAAGAAGCTTCCAAAATTAAAGTCCTGATTAGTCACTCTTTTTATTCACCATGAGAAAACTGAGAACTGGAGCAGTAGTATAAATTGATGGTTACAAAATTGACCACGAAGTTGGGAATAAAACTCAAGTCCTTAGGTCAATCATCCCCTCACTACTTATCAATAAACATTCTAGTATTCTAAATTATAACTACTTTCATGTACCTTATTTTACAAATAAATATGATTTACATTTATGGTATTATATCATAATCACAATCAGCACTTTTATAAATGCATTAAATGCTACCCTCTTACGCTCTTCGTAAACATGTTCTTCTATTAGTTTGTCAAGAATTCACCAAAACATTATTAATTCCTCTATCTACATGTTGAACACGGGTTATAACAAGGTTTCAAATGTCTTTCTCATGAGCAAGACATAAGACATTGAAGTAGTTTTCTCTCTTTAAGTGAAGACTCAATTAGCTTTAAACAATTGTATCATTAAGTAAATAGTTTGCCTGGTTTCAAGAAAAAATTACACAGTTGCTGATCATTCTTATGCAAGTTTTGGAGACAAATCTTTCTCGACAGTGATGGCAGGTTTTTGAGGTTCATCTCACCCCCCAAAATTTATTTTGATGTAAGTAAACAAGAGCAAGTCAAGGCAGACATAATGTTTTCTTGGTCATGTGAAGAATTTATCTCAAGTTAATATAGAGCTTATATATGTCTGGTTTTTAATGATCTTTTCATTGAGAGAAAATTTTTCAGTCAATATTTATTTATTTTTACCATCCTGAGGCAGACAGGAAGGAACTATAAAAACCTCTAAAGCATGGGTTACCTATAGTATATTAAAATAAATTAAAATGTATTGTTTATGGAGCTATATCTATATTATGAGCACTGTGGTAAGCTCTTTTTATGCACATTATCTTATTTAGTCCTCACAGTAGCTTTACAAGGAAGGAATATCCCTGTTTTAGAAATTAGAAAATTGATGTTTGGGAGGTCATATAATTTGAATTAAAGCCTCCCAAAGATATCTGTACACTTACCTGGCAAAAATAGCTTTGCAGATGCGATTAAGGTTATGGAAGTTAATAGGGAGATTATCCTGGATTACTCTGGTAGGCCCAATCTCAGTGTGAGCCCTTAAAAGGAAAGAATTTTCTCTGGCTAGAGTCAGAGAGAGGCAAGGGAAGAGGAACTGGATAAGATGAGGCATAAGGGGAGATCAAAGACAATCTAAGACTTAGAAGGACTTAGCCACTATTGCTGGTTTTGAACACCAGTGGAGCTATAATATAGCCTGAAAATGCAAGAATACTCTTGAAGGAACCCCAGTCGACAGCTACCAACATAAAAATAAATAAATACAGCCAATAATCTGAATGAGCTTGGAAGTGAATTCATTTTCAGAGTCTACAGAAATGCAGTGCTACAGACATTTTGATTTTAGCTTGGTGAGAGCTATCTCTGACTTCTGACTGACCAAACTGTGTGAGAGTAAATTATATTAATTTAAGCCACAAAATTTATGATAATTTTTATGACAGCAATAGAAAACTAATGCAAAAGTTATCTCAGTAACTGTCAAAATAAGTAAAGAAAAAAAAGCAAGGAAACATAAGATTTGAACATTGAAATCAGCGAAATTGACCTGATGTATTTTAAAATGATGTATCCAACAACTATGAAGTTTATTCTTTTCAGGCACATGGATGGAACATATAAAATAATTTACCAAATGCTGGGTTTTCACGGATGTATCAACATGTCCCCCACATGGCTAAAATTATACAGAATGTGTTTTCTAATCATCAAACAATTGAGCTTAAAATCAATAAATACAAACTAGAAATGCTCCTTATAGTTGGAAAATGGCATTAAATTAAATACTTACAAATGGCATTATTATATATAGAACTACCCAACAGTATTTACAGAAAAAAAAAATTACAGTTAAAAAGTGAGTTCAGCAAGTTTACTGCAGACAAGGTCAATTTTTTTTTTTTTTTTCAGAGTTTTGCTCTTTTTTGCCCAGGCTGGAGTGCAATGGCACGATCTTGGCTCAGCACAACCTCTGCCTCCAGGGTTCAAGCGATTCTCCTGCCTCAGCCTCCCGAGTAGCTGGAATTACAGGCATGCGCCACCACACCCAGCTAATTTTGTATTTTTAGTAGAGATGGGTTTTCTCCATGTTGGTCAGGCTGGTCTCGAACTCCTGACCTCAGGTGATCCGCCTGCCTCAGCCTCCCAAAGTGCTGAGATTACAGGCATGAGCCACTGTGACCGTCCAATATTTTTTAAAAGAAATAAATTTTATACATCAGCAACAAATAAAAAATGAAATTTTTAAAAGTAATCCATCCATGGATTATAATACCTACCAAAATGGAGTTTTAATTATATTTATTTATTTTAAGTTCAATTACACTTTGAATTGAAAGAAAATATACTCTCATGTTTTGGTAGAGATATGGATAATCACAACTTTCATACATTGTTGGTAGATAAGTAAATTGGCACAATTACATTAGTTATTTTGTAGTGTCAACAAAAACTGAACAGGCAGACACCCTATGACTCAGCAATTCTACTCTGTTGAATATACCCACAATAAATTAGAGCATGTGTATATCAAAAATCATGTTGAGAAAGATTCTTCAAAGATTTTCCATAGTAGCTAAATCTGCTGACAATACAAATATACAGTGATGCTGGTGCTGGATTACCATTTGTTAGTTTCATTTGTCTTTCTTAAAAACATTTCATTTAATTTGTTCTGTACTTCAGATTTCTCACCTGAAAACGAAAATGGTAGTATTAGAATTTTTGCCTCACAAGGTTCAATGAAGACACATAATAAATTTTAAAATAGAAAGAAAAAAGCCCCACAACTTTTCCATGTATGATAAATGACCTGCATATTTTATGACTCTTGTAACAGACTATCTGAAGCTGGTTATCTTTATACCACTTATCTGCAACAATACTGCATATGTATTTGCTTTTTGTTATGATATCTACCCCTTTAAAATTGAATCTGCATTAAAGCTGGCACTTTGTTTTTCATTGAGTAGAACAGTGCCTGGCACATTACAGAAGTACTATAAGTAGGTTTATCATTAAATTAGGAATGGCACAGTTATCATACAGAAAAATATCCTATAACATATATATTTCTACGCTGATGTTCCTGAGATAGAAAGCAAGAGTTTGCTTTGAGTTAAATTTATGAAGAAGCTCATATAGAGTAAATTTTTTAAAGAAACGAGTATAACCTTTCCAGATTATTATAATAAATTACATAGATTAAAACAAGAATAATGACAAGAACAACAAAAAACACTTTTTAAAACTTGATAAATATGAACTATATGAATTACGGTCTATTTATAAAACATTAGAGAGAAATTATGTATTTATTCATTATATGACTGTCATGCCACTTGAGATTTTTTTACCCTACTTTTCATGTCCCGGAAATACTAAACTCATTGATTAAGCAACATTAATATGATTCCCCTTTGACCAAATGTACCTTTTCTTTTCGTTGAAAGGTTTTTCTAGACGCACGGCTCTATAAGGATCAACGCAAAGGGTCCCAAGTGCTTCACAGTCAGCTTAATGAATTTGTGTTTAATCAAGTTCTGTTTCTTTCAGTATTAATAACATGAAATTTTAAAGGATGCTTCATAAATTTACATTTAAAATGCCATTCACAATTTAGGAAGGTGAGTATTAGCAGTTTAAATAACCTTGAGTTTCTGAAAGAATCAAGTTTTTTGGTAAATATTGACATAACAAGTATATAGAAAATTATGTCCTGCTTACCAGGTTAAATGTCTTCAAACTTTAGATTTATAATAATTTTAATGTTTATTTTTCTTACTCCTTTTGTCATTAGGCATACTCATTAGGAACTAATTTCATACTAGACCAATTTTAAATTTGTTCTTATCCAAATTTGTTCATAATAAGAATACTGCATAGATATGTTTACCACATTTCTGATATCATACCTCCTGACTTTGAATGAAATAAAGGTATTTTACAATAATAAGTGAATTATAATAATTACCATTGAGTTACCATTTATTAATTGCATTGTGTGCCAAGCAAATTCTAAGTGTTTTCCATGAAATAACTTACTTAGTACTTATAGATAGCTGCCCACAGACTCAAACTTTGTGTGTTCATTGTTTTCATTTTACAGATGAGAAAGTGTAGAAATAGGGAAGCATTAATGAATTTGCTCAAGATCTCACTGCTGATAAGTAGCCAATCTAAGTCAGTAACCAAAACATTCTCACTCCAAAACTGAGCACTTGCTCACCATATTGTATACATACATTAGGCAAGAGACTGATAGGGCTTGAGTACATAGAGAAAATTCCATGCGATTTTGAAAATTCATATTTATTTCCCGAGTCTTAAAATCTGAAAGTGTAGAGTGTAAGACCATTAATATGAATAAATATTAATACTAATTTCAGAAAAGTTGCACTTGATTCAGTTTAGTAAAATAATCATGTTCAAGGTTCAGTGTTATGAGAAAAGGGAATAATCTATTGAGTCACACAGCATAGGTTTCAGTTTTAGGATGACCACTTCCTACCTGTATAATAATGGAAAATTAATTAATTTCTAATGGACTTAGTTTTCTCAATTAAAAAAAACTATAATACTTTTAGGGTAGTTATTAAAGGTTAAAGGATACAGAGAATGTAACATGAGACCTATGGTGCTGGGTGCATGCAATGAATAGATAACACTCATTGAATGGTAGGAACGATGATGACAATGAGCTTTCTAATTATATCCAGCAGTTTCTGCTTTCATCCAATCATGATTCCTAAAATATTATTCTAAAAGTAAAATACACCTATTTTCACCATGAAGCATTTCTTTTTGAGGAAATATTTTATTAAACTTTACAGTTGACCCTTGGACAACACGAATTTTAACTGTGAGGGTCCACTTGTACATGCAGTTTTTCAACTAAGCATAGATGGAAATACAATATTCATGGATGTGAAACCTCTGTGGGTTTTACAGGGTCAATTAGGGACCTGAGTATGTGCAGATTTTGGTATATACATGAATCCTAGAACTAATAATCTGGCTATGGCAAGGGACAACTGTATTTTTGTTTTTACCACCTTCTTTTATGGAATAACTGTATGTCATGTCAATTCTAATTATATTTCTAGTTATATTTTTGAAATAAGAAAAATAAATGGTTAACATAGTGGTATAACCAAACAAAATGAAGAATGCTAAATCCCATATAACAGCAAGACTAATAAACATACTTTTAAACTTCATTCTATTCACAGATGGGCACTTTCCCTATGATAAATTTGTCAATTCAAATCAACACAAGTTCTGATTTTTATTCTATTCAAACTTTGTAAGAGTAGCAACCAGAAAATGCCCTTTAATTGATCATGAGGGGACACTGTAAAAGACCTTACTTACAAAATAATAGCTATAGGATGAAGAATAGAATGATAGGATGATGATGATGATGTAGGATCAAAATTCAATGGCTGAAAAAGCAGATGTGATTATATGGTTATAAAAAGTTATAATTGACTGAATATATAACCTTTAATAACTTTTCTATAGAATCCCACAAATTTATGAAAAAACTCTAAAAGGTAATGAAATGGGACCCATGAAGATGAACACCCTGCCCAACTACATGCATAATAGTTAGCTCACCATAGAGGTAATTTTTACCAAAATGCCAGGGCTTTGGTCTAGGTCCTGCCGCTCACCACACAGAAAGCCAATCACTGAGGCAACAAACATTGCCAGAAAAGAAGGATTTAATCAGGTGCTTCAGCCAAAAAGATGGGAGATTAGCCTCAAATTCATTTCTTTGGCTGACTAAAATTGCCGGTTTATATAGCAGGGAAGAAAAGTAATCATATGTGGGAAAATGGGAATTAGGGAGGGGAAATGAAGGTCAATAGGAAGCAGGTGGTTGGTTAGACAATCAAGACAGGTAAGCGGTCTGGCATCTCATTTTCCTGATGTGGCGATCTGGCAAACTCCAGTTCCTTGATACTACCTGGGAGGTCTAATGGTTGGTTTCCTGGGAAAGGAACTCAGACAGGGCAAATGTAACTTTTGCAAGTTTCAGAACTGGGAGCATCAGTTTCTAGGTTTATTCAGACGAAAACATAAACATCAGTTCTGTGGGATGATTAGACCAGTTTCAGTATTTCTTCTTACCTGGTATTACATGCTGATTTAATTAGTAATTGCATATTAATTTATTTTAAATATTATTATGCTTGTTTCTCCTAACATGACATAATCATATCTTTCATCAATACCTACTGCATCAATTAGCTCTTAATTTTAAACAATGAGTTTTTAAATATTTTAGCTTTTCTTTGAAATTTTAAAGGAATGACTAAAAACATTTTTAATGATTTTATCAATTAGCAGACACACAAAAAACCAAACTTCAGCCAAATGAAAGCACAGAAAAACATGAAAATCTATCTCTTCCTCTCTGTTTACTCTGTTTCATTCTATAAGTATATCTTATTAAATTTGTTGACAAATAATTGGTTCAATGTGCATTATATTTATAAAAATTAAATGTAATAGAAGTAAAGCTATATTACATTTAAACATTATTTTTCTTATATTAAATGATATATTCAAGTCTTGAGCTTTGTTATAATGAAAATGGTAATGGAAATGGTCTATTTACAACTATATTTTACATTATTTATTTAAATAATATGAGAACAATTTAGACCTAAGTGATATTTTAATAGAAGTGTACAGTTCTCATATGTCCCATATACAGTTCCCTGATTGTTAACTTCTTAAATTAATATAGTACATTTTTTGTAACAACTAATAAACCAACATTGGTACATTATTAATTCAAATTCATAGCTTATTCAGATGGTTTTAGTTTTTGTTTTTTTTTAGTTTTTTAAAGGTTTATTTAAGCTTTAAAAAGTTAGAGCACTATGTACATATATAGAGAACCAAATTTATTCATTTTTAATTCCCTGTGTTTTGTTTTTTGTTTTTATTATACTTTAAGTTTTAGGGTACATGTGCACAATGTGCAGGTTAGTTACATATGTACACATGTGCCATGCTGGTGTGCTGCACCCATTAACTCGTCATTTAGCATTAGGTATATCTCCTAATGCTATCCCTCCCCCTCCCCCCACCCCACAACAGTCCCCAGAGTGTGATGTTCCCCTTCCTGTGTCCATGTGTTCTCATTGTTCAATTCCCACCTATGAATGAGAATATGCGGTGTTTGGTTTTTTGTTCTTGCAATAGTTTACTGAGAATGATGATTTCCAGTTTCATCCATGTCCCTACAAAGGACATGAACTCATCATTTTTTATGGCTGCATAGTATTCCATGGTGTATATGTGCCACATTTTCTTAATCCAGTCTATCACTGTTGGACATTTGGGTTGGTTCCAAGTCTTTGCTATTGTGAATAGTGCTGCAGTAAACATACATGTGCATGTGTCTTTACAGCAGCATGATTTCTAGTCCTTTGGGTATATACCCAGTAATGGGATGGCTGGGTCAAATGGTATTTCTAGTTCTAGATCCCTGAGGAATCGCCACACTGACTTCCACAATGGTTGAACTAGTTTACAGTCCCACCAACAGTGTAAAAGTGTTCCTATTTCTCCACATCCTCTCCAGCATTTGTTGTTCCCTGACTTTTAATGATTGCCATTCTAACTTGTGTGAGATGGTATCTCATTGTGGTTTTGAGTTGCATTTCTCTGATAGCCAGTGATGGTGAGCATTTTTTCATGTGTTTTTTGGCTGCATAAATGTCTTCTTTTGAGAAGTGTCTGTTCATGTCCTTTGCCCACTTTTTGATGGGGTTGTTTTTTTCTTGTAAATTTGTTTGAGTTCATTGTAGATTCTGGATATTAGCCCTTTGTCAGATGAGTAGGTTGCGAAAACTTTCTCCCATTTTGTAGGTTGCCTGTTCACTCTGATGGTAGTTTCTTTTGCTGTGCAGAAGCTCTTTAGTTTAATTAGATCCCATTTGTCAATTTTAGCTTTTGTTGCCATTGCTTTTGGTGTTTTAGACATGAAGTCCTTGCCCACGCCTATGTCCTGAATGGTAATGCCTAGGTTTTCTTCTAGGGTTTTTTATCGTTTAAGGTCTAATGTTTAAGTCTTTAATCCATCTTGAATTAATTTTTGTATAAGGTGTAAGGAAGGGATCCAGTTTCAGCTTTCTCCATATGGCTAGCCAGTTTTCCCAGCACCATTTATTAAATAGGGAATCCTTTCCCCATTTCTTGTTTTTGTCAGGTTTGTCAAAGATCAGATAGTTGTAGATATGTGGTGTTATTTCTGAGGGCTCTGTTCTGTTCCATTGATCTATATCTCTGTTTTGGTACCAGTACCATGCTGTTTTGGTTACTGTAGCCTTGTAGTATACTTTGAAGTCAGGTAGCGTGATGCCTCCAGCTTTGTGGTTTTGGCTTAGGATTGACTTGGCGATGCAGGCTCTTTTTTGGTGTCATATGAACTTTAAAGTAGTTTTTTCCAATTCTGTGAAGAAAGTCATTCATAGCTTGATGGGGATGGCATTGAATCTATAAATTACCTTGGGCAGTATGGCCATTTTCACGATATTGATTCTTCCTACCCATGAGCATGGAATGTTCTTCCATTTGTTTGTATCCTCTTTTATTTCATTGAGCAGTGGTTTGTAGTTCTCCTTGAAGAGGTCCTTCACATCCCTTGTAAGTTGGATTCCTAGGTATTTTATTCTCTTTGAAGCAGTTGTGAATGGGAGATCACTCATGATTTGGCTCTCTATTTGTCTGTTATTGGTGTATAAGAATGCTTGTGATTTTTGTACATTGATTTTGTATCCTGAGACTTTGCTGAATTTGCTTATCAGCTTAAGGAGATTTTGGGCTGAGACAGTGGGGTTTTCAGATATACAGTCATGTCATCATCTGCAAACAGGGACAATTTGACTTCCTCTTTTCCTAATTGAATACCCTTTATTTCCTTCTCCTGCCTAACTGCCCTGGCCAGAACTTCCAACACTATGTTGAATAGGAGTGGTGAGAGAGGGCATCCCTGTCTTGTGCCCATTTTCAAAGGGAATGCTTCCAGTTTTTGCCCATTCAGTATGATATTGGCTGTGGGTTTGTCATTGATAGCTCTTATTATTTTGAGATAAGTCCCATCAATACCTAATTTATTGAGATTTTTTAGCATGAAGGGTTGTTGAATTTTGTCAAAGGCCTTTTCTGCATCTATTGAGATAATCATGTGGTGTTTGTCTTTGGTTCTGTTTATATGGGGGATTACATTTATTGATTTGTGTATATTGAACCAGCCTTGCATCCCGGGGATGAATCCCACTTGATCATGGTGGATAAGCTTTTTACCTAATGTCCTGTTTGATTCCAGGTCCCCATACAGAATAACAATTACTTTTATTTACCATGTTTCTTCAGTCTCCTCTAAACTGTGATAGTTTTTGCTTTTTTTTTGTTTTTGATGACCTTGACAGTATTGAGACTCACTGGTCAGACAATATTTCTTTCCTCTTACTAATTGATAAATAGTCACATAGAGGTAGATTTTTGTGTGTATGATAAATATACAGCATATATTATATGTATATATAAGTATGTCATACATTAAGTGTATATATACCATGTAATTATATATAATGTATACTATATGTCATATATAAATACATAACTATTTTATACTAATGAAAATTAAGTTGAAAATATGAAACTTCTTCAGCCCTTACTACTTTATTGTGTATTTCCTAAAACCAAGTTTAGTTTTCAATTTTTTTAGTCTCAATTTTAGCATTTCCACAATACTTCCTTGACTTTCATGACCTTAATATTTTTCAGGACCAGAGGAGTGTATAAAATGTCTCTAAATTTTAATTCACCTGATATTTTCTCATGATTCGTAGACTTTGTGCATGAATGTTTCAAAAATGATACTGTTTTTATCATAGCATGTAACACAAAAGACACACAATGTATCTGTTTCATTATTGGTAGTGATGGCTTTTATCACTTTGACAAAACAGTGTCTTCCAGCTTTCCCTTCTGTATTTACCAGTAATTTTGTACTTAATACTTAATAAGTATTAAAGCTATATTGTGGGGAACTAGGTTAAGACTGTAACTATCCTGTTTCTCATTGAACTTTTACCCACCATTTTTATTAGTGATTGTTGAAATATTATTTTTTGAAATATAATTGAGGAAAGTGTAAATTACTGTGGTTGGCTATATTTCTTCTTCTCTTTGCTCCTTGAGCGCTTATTGAATGCTTTTCAATGGTTTAGGCATGTTCTAGCAATAGAGATTTGATTACTAATGTAAAGGTTTGCACACTGAAATCATGGTGAATTTGGAAATTTATTAAATAATTTGCTTGCTGAGAACCAATTTTTTTCTGACAGTAATAATTATTTGAAGAAGAGTTTCCTAAAATGCAGGTACTGGCTAATTTGATTTTATGTCTCCTTTTGTAAAATAACCCAAAATATTTTTCTTAGGGCCCAAAATAATTTATCTTTAATACATAATCTAAATTATATGGTTTCAGATTGTCTGTGAATCTTGGGTTCTGTTATGTGCCACATTTTGTTTTCCTGTTTATTTCTCATTTTTTCAGAAGTTCATTAATAGTGAATTCTAACATTTCTCAAATAACATATTGCACAGTGTTTAAGAATGAATACTTTTAAACAAGACACTGTGCCATATATTATTTGAGATATTTTATAATTAAGTTGAATTTATTTCTCCTTCTGTAAAATAACCCAAAACATTTTTCTTAGGGGCCCAAAATAAATTATCTTTAATGAGATACATAATCTAAATTATATCATTTCAGATTATTCACCAAGTATTAGAATAATAACATCAGGCAGAAGCTTTCTAAGCCTATAATTTTGTAACCATAAAATAAGTATGATAACAAAATAAATAATGATATAAACTTGTATTGAGGATTAAAGGAGGTGATACTTTTAAAATACTTAGTGCAGGTTTTAGCCATTTTTTTTTTTTTTTTTTTTTTTTTTGCAATCCTCCTGTTTTGGAAATACGCTTTGGAAATAGTGACAGATTTGAAAACCAAGAGTTTCTCCACACATGAAAGTGTAGAGATACACTTATAAACAGGCAGTAATTAGTGGAACATTATTGAGACTTCAGCTTTGTGGTGAAATTAACATTACCTCTGAATCTATCTAATTTGAGTTTTTGCTTTCCAAATCCATTTCTCATAGTTTTATGCTATTCTTTTACATTTCATTGTGGTTATATCATCTCCTTCCATTTAATACATATATTTTGAACATCTGTTTTTATCAGAATTATTCTGGTAAATCTAAAAGCACAGACAGTATTCATGAGAAGCATAACACTGACATTCCTTATAGAGTTGAATATCCTTTTTTACATATTTTGTGTGTTTTGTTTACAATTTCTAGGTATAATTAAGTGATTTTTTAATATGAAATAAATTATGGTTTAGAAACATGGATCATGGAGTTCAAAACTCGATATCTTCAACTTTTCAAGGAATAAAAATCACTGGGCCTTCAGGAGCATCCCCATTTATGGAATTTCTTTGAATATGCAGTACTGGCACTTAATCTAAAGTTAAAGAAAGAAGTAAGACTAATCTCTAGTTCCTCTTACTTGTCCCCATTTTTCTCTTCCATAGGATGGGCACATTCTCTCTGAGAATCAGGAAACAGTTAAAAAAGAGAAAGAGATAAGGAGATTAAAGGAAGTGAAAGAAGCACATATTAATACATTTCTTTTTACTTTAAGCATGTACGTGGGAATCAATTTTTTAGCTGTTTTACAACATTCAAGTATTCAAATATTCAACAACTTCTAAGCTCATATGGGCCGGGCACAGTGGCTTTTGCTTGTAATCCCAGCACTTTGGAAGGCCGAGGCAGGCGGATCACCTGAGGTCGGGAGTTTGAGACTAGCCTGTCCAACATGGAGAAACCACGTCTCTACTAAAAACACAAAATTAGCCAGGCGTGGTGGCGCATGCCTGTAATCCCAGCTACTTGGGAGGCTGAGGCAGGAGAATTGCTTGAACCCAGGAGGTGGAGGTTGCGGTGAGCCGAGATTGTGCCATTGCACTCCAGCCTGGCCAACAAGAGCGAAACTCGTCATCTCAAAAATAAATAAATAGATAAATAAATAAATAAGCTCATATGTATATTCAACTTAAGCTTAATTGCTCCTCAGTTTTTAGTAAAGATAGAGTTATTTATCATTCTCTGTAACAGTAATAATTCTTTTTTTATTTTAAATACACTTATCTACATGAATTTGTCTATTATTTATTCAGAGAAAGTAACCCTTAATATTAATCATCTAGTCTTTGTGATAAAAAATGGAATCAAGATTTTTAATGAAATCAAGATTTTTAACACAGGTATGAAAACCATATTATGTTAAAGGGAATCTGAAAAACATTAATGAAACAGAATAAAATAGATGGACCAAGGACAAACAAAAAAAACATTAAGTTGAGCAAAAGAAGCCAGATAGGAAAGGGTACACACTCTATTGAAGTCCAAGAACAGGCAAAACTAAGCAATTTTGATTGAAGTCAAAAGCAGCTGCATCTGACAAGATAGTCTGTACAGGGATATTAGGAAATTTTACAGTGTGATAAAAATATTATATTTTTTGTGTAGGTGTTCATTACATGGGTTCATGAAATTGTCAAAACTCAACATACTGAATATTTAAGATCTCTGCATTTTGTTTAATATAAATTGTACCTTCATAAGTTAATGTTAACTAGACAAAAAGGGCTATACCTCTTTTCTTATGTTTTCTTTAATGTTAATAAATCATTACAAGATAACTTGCACTGTATTTGAATTCAAGAATATGTATTTTTTTTATCAGTTCTGGAAAGTTTTAAGATGGACTTCAAACGGATGTTTGATTTGGAAAAATGGTTGAATAAAACAAATGTTATATTTACTAGTTAAAGTAAGACCAATATAATGGTCACAGAAACAATGATTTGGCAAACGATATTTTCTCAATAAATAATCGTAGATTCAGAGACATTGTAATTTCATAATTGTCAGAAAATGTTGAATTTTTCAATAATATTCCACTGATGACTGCCTGTTTACAAAATCAACTCTGGATTTCATGTGTGGAGAATCTTTGGTTTAAAATTTCTAAATTTACCATTTCTAAAGCATATTTCCAAGGCAGGGATTAATTGCAAGAATGAATCTATAACATTATTTTATCTGGGGAGAAAGTTAAAGGATGAATCATAGTTCTCATTGTTGATTAAACGTGGAAGATTCCTTCAGTTTCACTAGTAATGATAATTTGTACAGAATGTTGCCTTATCTTGATTGGGTTTTCTAGGAGATTAATTGACATGAAGTGGCTGCCTAATACTATAAATCAGATCAATGATATTAACAATTGGAAAATAAATGTGTAGTGTTTTAACATAGGCTGATATGTAATCTTGCATCACTAAAGGTAATGCTTCTTTTTTGTTAATGTCTATTAGTAGAAATAGAGCACCTGCCACCCCGGTAGCATTTCTTTCATCAAATCATCATTATATGATAAGTAACTGTAGTGATTAATTCTGTTTCAGCTTATCTAAAATTCAGTATCCTTCAGATATTCTCCATTTTTCCTGGGTAGGAGAAAACAAAAAACTTGGATTCTTGAGGAAGCATGGGAAAAAGTAAAATCTCATCAATCGTATTTTAAATTTTTCCTCTAGGGTGGCTCTTTTTGGGGGCAAGTTTCCAAATTGAATAATATCCTTTTGTACCAATTGTCTTCCAGTTGAAGAGGTATTATTTAAGTTGTGTCTATTACATAAAAATATATGTTTTCTCTTCTTAGGACTCTCATATGGTTTCTGTTTAATCATTAAAGCCATTAGAATCTATCAGAAGGCATTGGTGTGGAATACATGTGTAAACTATTTTAGGTATTCAGAAATCATTTTTTAGTATTTTATTTTTTACTAAACTTTTTGTTTCTGTGTTGATATGACACATGAGACTCCAGAAAATATGAAACAGAAAATCATTGTTATCTACCAACACAATGATATTGATGCCAGTGGAATTTTCTAATCACCAAATATATATGTACAACACAATATTATGATTTGTGGAGGACTTTCTACCACATATCCTTCTCAATATTTTATTCCAAGTGAACAGCATACCATCGGTTTCGTGAATATAAGGTTATTCTACTTGCATGTGCTTGCTGTATTGGGTCCTATTATGGTTATAGTTTATTCATGGACAGTCTGTAGAAAATTTTCTTGTAGGAAAACTGGCAAGAGCATGGGAAGAACTAGACTTCACAGTGAAATCTACATATTTTTCTTCATGGAAGCAAAAAAAGGTGGGCAGGGTTTTTTGACAGTGAGCTGCCAGAAGCTCTGGCCATCCTGTTGCAATTGAACAGCATAATGAATGGGTGGAAATCACCTCTAAAAGTGAGGTTGTCCGAGGAACCAGGAACAGGCAGGTAGAGGATGAGGATGTGGATACAGTATTCCAGTATAGAGGCCTTGTAGAGGATTTAGTATATTAAAATATGAAGAAATTGTGAAAAGTTTCAGTCTCATCTGCATAAATAATATATATAAATAAGAATAATTAATTGAGTTTCTACTGATGAACCAGTTTCTACAATTGATGCTATGAAATATTTTTTTAAAAAGAAAAAAATTATGGTCTGTCTTTAAAGAGCTTTTGGATGCAAATAGGCTGTCAAGAGGGACCTTTTAAATTTATTTCAGTTCACTACTAACACTCTGTTTTTGCATACATTTCAATGCTACCTGCCCATTTAGGTGTGGGCTTTCTGCCATGTCTTTTGTTTGGTTTTTGTAATGATAATAAGGTAGTTGTGATTTTGAGATATAGCATTAAAGAGTTATCTATGAAACATAAGGTAGGTCTCTTTGTTCACAGTTTTATAATAGCACAAAAAAGATCTGAATATAATATACATATAACCACCTACTATCTATCTATCTTTTTTTTTTTTTAAATTGAGACAGAGTCTTGTTCTCGCCCCAGGCTGGAGTGCAGTGCCACGATCTCAGCTCACTGCAACCTCAGTCTCCTGGGTTCAAGGGATTCTCCTGCCTCAGCCTCCTGAGTAGCTGGGACTACAGGTGTGCACCACCATGCCTGGTTAATTTTTGTATTTTTAGTAGAGACAGGATTTCACCATGCTGGCCAGGCTGGACTCCAACTCCTGACCTCAAGTAATCCATCTAGTTCAGCCTCCCAAATTGTTGGGATTACAGGCGTTAGCCACCGTGTCCAGGCCTATTATCTATCTATCTATCTCTACTCTCAAACTCTTAAACTCTCAGACTTGAAGCAGCAATCCTCCTGCCTCAGCCTCCCAAAGTGCTGGGATTACAGGTGTGAGCCATGGCATCTGGCCAGGATCTACTATTTTTTAAAAAACATTTTTTCTGCTTCTACTTTCTTCTGCTTTTTTGCATCTGGCATAGGCCTCTTCATTAGAGCCTTTTTAGACTTTTCAGACCTCCCATGTTTGCCCATATAACTTATCTTCTTTTTTCTCGGCTATTTCTCTCATATTAGCCTCAACCCTATCTCATATGTGAACAGGTCTACCATTTGAACAAATCATGAAATTTGAGCAGATCATGAGAAAAATGTATGACTGATCCATTTTGTGTTGCATTTTACATATGAATGGCTATTTGTACATGCTTGCACAATCTAGTAGTAGAAATACACAGGAGTGATCTGTGCTAAGACATTTGCCTTAAATGTGGAACTATGGAGGAGAGCAAACCTCACCTTGGGACAATTCCTGAGCCTGCCCATCCTCCCCTGTCAGCCAGTAAATACCATATTTGTGAAATTAGGGAGAAATTTTTACTGAAATTGTCAAGAAAGACAGCCATGAATGAAAGAACATGCTGAAATCTATTGCTATTACACTAATGCTTTTCATTTAATTTTCAAGGAATCTAAAATTTTGTCTAAAAAAGACCTTAAAATTATATTTAGGGATGATTCATAACCTTTATATAATATCATTATAGAAAAAAGGTTTTCTCTATTCCTACGGCTAATACAATTGTTTCTCTTTTATTTTCTATTCAAAGATATAAATTAATGAAATTTATTATAGAATCATATTTCTACTTGCAATTTTTCAGAAATAATAAAAGTATATATGGCCACACAAATATGATTAGGGAAATTTACCTGTGGCACACAAAATGAGCTCATATTCTGAAATGAGAACATTTGAAATTGAATTACTCTTTGGATTAAGCTTAAAATTGAAACCATAAGCAAATGCATATTCAATTTTTTTCCTGTGGTCTATTATCAATCTTTGGTAGGCTTCATCAGCAAGTATATTTTTTGAAAGTCAATCAAAGAAATACAATGTAGAGTTTATTTTAAAGGACTACATATTAAACATTATAACAATGTAGAGTTTATTTTAAAGGACTACATATTAAACATTATACTTACAAATGTGATTTCTGCATGGAAAAAGCCATGTCAGTGATGAAGAAAAATATTACTTGATGGTAATATATTAAGACATCATGCTACTTTTATGTGGCCTTTTCATCATTTCAAAAAAACATTGTAGAGCTAGAGAAAAACATTGATCTTTTCAATAGTTTGCATATTGAATTTAGAAATATGCCTTCAACTTTACAAATATTACATTGTAAGGACTAAAATCTTTCAAACCATCTATTCCAACAAATTTCTGTCATATAAATATTTATTCCAGAAATTTAATCTTGATTAAGAGTGGCAAACGTGAAGTTCTCCCTGGATGTCCTATATCTTCCCCGCAAGACCAATTTTATCTCCCTAAGTTGTAGGGCTTTGGGATCCTGCTCTTCAAAATAAATCTGGTCCAATAGTATACATTACCCCAGTAAGCAGATTGAAAGGCATGGGCACCCCCTTTATTTCCTCAAAATTTCCACAGACGATACTGTTTAATTTTTTAAAATTTGTTTGTTTTATTTTGATTTTTTGTTTTGCTTTTATATCTACCTCCATGACATAGTATTTTTTGGCAACAAAATTTTTAAGTTTATTAGATATATGGAAACAAATCAATGTCATCCAATCATAAAATTTCACAGTTTGAAAATTATGGATAAACCTGGAAGACATTATGTTAAGTGAAACAAGCCAAGCACAGATATTCAGATACTACATGATCCCACTTGTATGTGGAATCTAAAGTAGTTGAAGTAATTGCAGCAGACAGTATAAGAGTGGTTACTAGGGGCTGGGATATGGATTGAGAGATGTTGGTCAAAGGATACAAAATTTAAATTTCTTGAACTAATAAATTCAATAAATCTATTGTACAACATGGTAACTATAGTTAATAACTATCTATTTTTGAAAATAGATTTTTTAAGTGCTCTCACCACAAAAAAGTATATAATAGATATGTTAATTAGCTTGGTTTAGCCATCACACAAGGTATACATATTTTAAAACAACATGTTGTACACAACAAATATACAAAATTCTATATGTTGATTTAAAAATAAGTTGGTAATAAAAATATCAAAGTACAGCTACATAAGAATGGGTGAATATTTATAAAAGATAAGGATGTCTTTTGCAACAGGAATTCCATTAAAAAAGAAAAATATTGAACGTCAGCTTGGAAGCAATTTAGCTGACTAACATTTCTACTAAATCTATCCCCAGTGGTCCCTCGATGTCCTCATAGGTACTACTTAAACGATCTCGTCTCACTTCATTCTCAGCTCTCCAAAGTTTGCCTTCAATGCTGCCTGCTAGGAAACTGGGCCTTATAAATCCTGAACTTCCTTGTACTTATGGTTTATTTTTAAGTCATAATTATATTCTTTTCCTAAATCAGAGATTGCAAACTAGTGTAGTTGTTGAGGCAATGGGCATATTTTATTTTACCTATTTATATTTTAATGTTTAAAAATCTGTTGTCAGCCGGGCGCGGTGGCTCAAGCCTGTAATCCCAGCACTTTGGGAGGCTGAGGTGGGCAGATCATGAGGTCAGGAGATCGAGACCATCCTTGCTAACGCGGTGAAACCCCATCTCTACTAAAAATACAAAAAATTAGCCGGGCGTGGTGGTGGGCGCCTGTGGTCCCAGCTACTTGGGAGGCTGAGGCAGGAGAATGGCGTGAACCCGGGAGGCAGAGCTTGCAGTAAGCCGAGACCGTGCCACTGCACTCCAGCCTGGGTGACAGAGTGAGACTCCATCTCAAAAATAAATAAATAAATAATAAAAATCTGTTGTCAATCTTAGCATCAAGATATTTTATATACAATTAAAATATTAGAAGACTTGGTAGCATGGGCTCCATATTCCAAGATGGCAAGAATTTGCTGGGATTGAGTAGCAGCTACTAGTAGCAGCTACCCTCTCTGAGTAGCATCAGAGAGGGCATGTTCTATCTATTTTCCACCGTCTCATCATGCTTGCTTCACTCATTTACATTACCTGAGGGATCCTTGTAAAATGTGAATTTTCAGTTTCTGAAAGTAAAACTGAATAAGGCAACTTTTTTGTTGCCTCTTAAGCTATTTTTACCATCAAGGAATCCTAGTCAAAAATTAAGAGAACAAATCCCTGAGCAAACATTAAAAGCGTCCAGTCTGTAGAGGCACAGAGCTTATGTTTATTGATGAAGTGCATTTAGTTCCTCTAACAATGCAATGATTATAGGAACAAAGTGCAAAATGCAAGCACAAGAAAAGGGGAATCATCTTCTGATGTGGCGTGTGTAATGCTATTTGAGGGGTGGTATGGGAGAAGCTGATATCTAATTAAGTTGAAATTTAACTAATGAGTAGTATTTCAGCTAAAACCTAAAAACTGGGAGGGGAAAATTTAAAAAAATTACTCTGGTTATAAGAGCACATTGCGCAAAAACCTACAGGTAAAAAAAAATAACGGTGATTCTCTTGTGGGCATAAGTAAGAATTAAGACTAGCAATTTAGGTCACACATCAAATCATGGTTTTGTATGCCACACATATTAAGTTCTGATGTTTTAATCCAAAATGAAAAGATGTTGCTATCTCTCCAGCTGCTGTGACCTGATCATGTTCTACTCAACCAATATCAGAAGGACTCAAGAAACTCCCAGTATTTTCCTCTAATATACAGACTATTCATTGTCTCCAATTTCTCTTTCTCAAACTTGCCACTTGCATATAATCATCAGCCTGGATTTCATTGCTCACTCGTAAATCGTTTATTTTAAACTAACTTTTTCTTACAGTTTAAATTCTAGCCTGTGGGTAACATTGCATCAAGGGTTTTGAGGAGAAACAACAGATGCAGTTTCTCCACAGGAGCTAACATACTAATGGCTATAAATTGGTCCAAATGTGTTTAACACGGAATCAGCGTCTTCTGCTTCTTCGCCCATAGCAAGAATCACAAAGTTGGACATTTCAGACATTTTAAGAACTCCTGTGTAAGGCTCAAAACTGTTCTTTTGAAACACTTCAGTTTGTGGTTGTGGGCTGCCAACTGGTATCTTCCTTTAGGTAATAAAGAGCTGATTTTTATGCTGTAACATTTCTGGTGTGCAGTTGATAAAATGAAAATTGATATTTAAAATCTTTTTTCCTTTCAGCTCACTCCAGTTGGTACCACAATATTCACAGGATTTTCAGGAGACAATGGAGCTACAGATATAGATGATGGACCAAATGGACAGATAGAGTATGTTATTCAGTATAATCCAGATGATCCGGTATGTAAATACCTATTTGCAATGTAATTTTCTTAAAAGGAATAAAATTAATGATTTTTTCAGCTGATAGTTATTGTATTATTCAGTAACTTCCAGAACCAGATTAGTAATGATACTATTATTTAAAAATGTCTCAAAATTGAATTATTTGTAATATTTATGCTTTATTGCTAGAAGCTAATTTTTGATGGTATTTTTAGATAAGGTTTAAAATATATTCATAGGTATAATATGCCTCATTTACTAAATTTCTGTTATGTTTGTGGTCTCCAAAGCATTCTAAATAAATCACTGGAGATGAGATAACAAGTGTCAAACATGAATTTTATGCAACTCATAAATTAATACCAATATTGTTGCTATACCTCAAGAACACACACCAAGTATTGCTGGAGTTGATAAGCCTTTAAACTTCTAGCCGTCCACCAGTTAAACCAAAGATAGAGAAGAAGACAAGACAAAGCCACTAGCTATAGTCTGTTTTATTTTGTTGTTTTTCTTCCTTTTTTTCCATTAGACAAGATGATTTCTTTTTTTTTTTTTTTTTTTTTTTTTTTTTTTTTGAGACGGAGTCTCGCTCTGTTGCCCAGGCTGGAGTGCAGTGGCGTGATCTTGGCTCACTGGAAGCTCAATTTTTTTGTATATTTAGTAGAGATGGGGTTTCACTGTGTTAGCCAGGATGGTCTCAATCTCCTGACCTCGTGATCCGCCTGCCTCGGCCTCCCAAATAGACAAGAAGATTTCTATGTTGTTTTTTAAGGCCATGAATCATTTCCTCTAATGACATATTATTCAAAAAAACAGACAAAGTAAGATTTTTTTTAACTGAAGCTAGAGCTGGAAGCCTTGCCTCACATCTCCCCACTTTCTTTGAGGCAGCTCCTCAAAATCCCACGGGCCCCCCAAAGCAATTATAAATGCACTACTTAAATAAGCTTTCAAATTGAATGCATCTCTTTTATGTTTAATAAATATTAGAAATATAAACAATGGTGAAGTTAACATTTTGCCCTTATTTTTACCATTGTATGTTGTAGATAAACTTTAGACAGACAAGCAAAAACAAACAAACAAAAAACTCTATTGGGATAGTAGAGTCTGAGAACTCACAGTAAGATCTACATCACAAATTTATTGCATTATGTTAAGTAAATTGTGGATGCATTTTCTCATTTTATCCTCACAAATCAGTTAAAAGTAGTATTATCTCTGTTGCATAGCAAAGAAAACTCGTAAGTGAAGTGATTTGGGTCATATTAGAAAACTACTTCTGAACTGTAAAATCCAGTTTCAGTATACTCTTCCTCTATTGTGTTCTCACAAAAAAAACTTGTACTGGCTGTGTTAAAATTTTAATAAATTTGGAAAATAAGTATATATATATAATATATATATATACATTTTATTAGCAGGGTGAAGGTCAGATTTTAGAGTCTTGTTTTTTTTTTTTTTTTTTTTTTGCTTTGTTTCTCTAAAAGAGGACTTTTTTTTAGGCAGAGACAATAAAACCAAGAGTTGGGGATATGATGAGAATGTGACAGAGAAGGACAGTATGAAGGGTTACATAAGAAATGAAGTGGGAAGTAGCAAAGAAACAGCAAAGAAAAGGGCAGCAGAAATGCTTTTTCTTAAATGTAGAAACAGCTGACTGAACATTCGATTTTGAAACCATTTATTTTGTTTGCTCTTTAGGTATTTTTTTAAAGAATTAATTGTACGTGTGCGCCATGTTTCTAGCTCAAATTTTATGAAGGTTACTTTCTAATCTTTACTCCCCAAGGTGTAAAAATAAAACCTCCCAGCAAGTATCAAATGACTAGTCCATGTTTTTTAGGGAGATATTTATTGCATGCATAAAAATATTCAATGTTTAGATATAGTTTGAGAGCAAAAATATATTACTTTAAACTATCTTTCTGCTTAAAATGTAGACAGTTAATAAGGCTTAAATTCTTTTTTAACTGTGCAATAATTCTGTCTCAATGCCTCCCCATTCCAGGGAAGTGTAGGTTTGCTGTACAATATAATATGTAACTCTTACTCCCTACAGAGTGGATAAACCAATCAACCACATGCATTTTCAAAATTACAAATGAAAAAAGAAAAATAAATAATATATGTTTTAGCAAGCTAAAATGCTCTTAATTCTGTGGAAAAAATAGTAAGACATCATGACACTTAACTTAGGATGTATTGAAGGAAAAAAGGATTAACCAAGGTACAATCTTAGGGAGAGAATCCACTTTTAGACTTCATATAAAATTAGTGTAAACCTCAGTACCAGTTTCTTCTCTTGTAAGACCTGTGAGAAAATACATGATAAATTTTATGTTCTGCTACTACTAAATCTCTAGTAATTCTGCTTACATTAATAGCACCATAGTGTGGCACTTTTACTAGTCAAAATAATAACATTTCAATAAAGCAAAATATTGTAAATTCTTCACCATAACTATTTTATTTAATATATGAATAAAATTGGAATAATTAAATTGAGCCTTTCTGTTTTGTTGCAAATCTTTTTTTTTATGTTTCAACTTATTTTTATTTTTATTTTTTATTTTTTATTATTTTACTTTAAGTTCTAGGGTACATGTGCACAACGTGCGGGTTTGTTACATATGTATACATGTGCCATGTTGGTGTGCTGCACCTGTTAACTCGTCATTTACATTAGGTATATCTCCTAATGCTGTCCCTCTCCCCTCCCACCTCCCCCCGCAAATCTACAAAGAACTTAAGCAACTCTTTTTATTGCAATTCAAATGGTGTTCTAAAACAAAGAAGCAACAAGTTTGGGAATAAATAGTTGCTGAACTGATTGATCCAATTTAAAGTGAAAGTGTTACAGTAGTGTGCATTTTCACACTTCTATAAAGAATAACTAAGACTGGGTAATTTATAATAAAATAATTTTAAATGACTCACAGTTCCAAATGGCTGGGAAGGCCTCAGGAAACTTACAATCACAGCAAAAGGGAAAGGGGGAGGAAGGAACATCTTACATGGCAGCAGGAGAGAGAGAGTGAAGGGGGAATTATCACTATTAAACCATCAGACCTCATGAGAATGCCCTCACTCTCACAAAAACAGCAGGGGGAAAACTGCCCCATGATCCAGTCACCTCCCACCAGGTCACTCCCTAGATTCATGGAGATTACAATTCAACATGAGATTTTAGTCGGGACACAGAGACAAACCATATAATTCCAACCATGGCCTCTTCCAAATCTCTTGTCCTTTTGACATTTCAGAACCAATCATGCCTTCTCAATAGTTCCCTAAAGTCTTAAATCATTTCAGCATTAACTCAAAAGTCCAAGTTCAAAGTTTCATCTGAGACAAGTCAATTCCCTTTAACCCATAAGCCTATAAAATCAAAAACAAGTTGTTACTTCCAAGATACAATGAGGGTACAGACATTAGGTATATACACCCATTCTGTATGTGAGAAATTGGCCCAAATAAAGGCACCACAGGCCCCATGCAAGTCCACAACACAGCAGGGCAGTTATTAAATCTTAAAGCTTCGAAATAATCTCATTTGACTCCATGTCTCACATCCAGGGCACATTAATGCAAAGGGTAAGCTTCCAAGGCCTTGGGCAGCTATGTCCCTGTGGCTCTGCAGGGTACTGCCCCTGCAGCTGCCTTCTCAGGCTGGCATTGAGTGCTTGTGGTTTTTCCAAGCACATGATGCAAGCTGTCTGTGGATCTATCATTCTAGGATCTGGAGGAGACAGTGGGACTCTTTTCACAGCTCCACTAGGCAGTCCCAAGTGGGGACTCCAATTCCACTTTTTCCCTCTGCATTATGCTAGTAGATGTTTTCCATGAGGGCTCCACCCCTGCAGCAGATATCTGCCTGGACATGCTGGCATTTTCACACATCCTCTGAAACCAAGGTGGAGGTTCCCAAAGCTCAACTCTTGTCTTCTATGTACCTGCAGGCCCAACACCACATGTAAGCCACCAAGGCATGGGGCTTGCACCTCTGAAGCAATGGCCTGAACTGTACATTTTAGCCATGGCTGGAGCTAGAGTGGCAGGGACATAGGATGCCATGTCCTAAGGCTGCACAGAGCAGTGGGGCCCTGGTCCCAGCTCAGAAAACCATTTTTCCCTCCTAGGCCTCCAGGCCTGTGATTTGAGCGGCTGCCATGAAGATCCCTAAAATGCCCTGGAGGCATTTTTCCCATTGTCTTGGCTATTAATAGTTGGTTCCTCGTTACTTATGCAAATTTCTGCACCCAGCTTGAATTTTCCCCCAGAAAATGGGATTTTCTTTTCTACCACATGGTCAGGCTGCAGATTCTTTAAAGTTTTATTCTCTGCTTCCCTTTTAAACATAAGTTCCAGTTTCACATAATGTCTTCATATATGCCTATGACTGTATGCTTTCAGAAAAAGACAGGTCACATCTTGAATACTTTGCTGCTTAGAAATTTCTCCTGCCAGATACCCTAAATCATCTTTCTCAAGTTCCAAGTTCCACAGATCTAGGGCAGGGGCAAAATGCCACCAGTCTCTTTGCTAAAGCATAGCAAGAGTGACTTTTGCTCCAGTTCCCAATAAGTTCCTCACCTCCATCTGAGACCACCTCAGCCTGGACTTCATTGTCCGTATCACTATCAGCATTTTGGTTGAAAGCATTCACAAAGTCTCTAGGAAGGTCCAAACTTTCCCACATCTTCCTGTTTTCTTCTGAGCCCTCCAAACTGTTCCAACCTCTGACCATTACCCAGTTCCAAAGTTGCTTCTATATTTTCAGGTTATCATCTTAACAGTACTCCACTATCCCAGTACCAATTTCCTGTATTAGTTTGTTATCACACTGCTATAAAGATACTACCTGAGAGTGTGTAATTTACAAAGAAAGGAGGTTTAACTGACTCACAGTTCTGAATGGCTAGGGACACCTCAGGAAACTTACAATCATGGCAGAAGGTGAAGGAGAAGCATGGTGTATCTTACATGCAGCAGGAGGCAGAAAGAGCAAAAATGGAAGTGCCACTTTTAAACCATCAGATCTCGTGAGAACTCACTATCGGGAGAACAGCATGGGGGAAACTGCCCCCATAAACCAGTCACCACCTACCAGATCCCTCCCTCAATACATGGGGATTACAATTTGACATTGTAATTTGTTTTGGGTGGGGACACAGAGCCAAACCATATCAACTAGATGGTTAGGCAGATATGAGCAGGGCAGGAGAGGACCACCCCCAGGAATGTCAGCTGATCGTCAGGTGATGGTTAGGTGGCTTTTAAACTTTTTCTGTAAAAGAATAATTGATCACAGCCAGTGCCAGGGAAATATAGTCTCCCAATAGATAGAAAACACTTGAAGCTGGTGATCAGCAGCTTCCCAATAAGAGCTTAGAAGTTGGGCAAGAGGGCTGAAGCATGCACGTTAAGAGGCAAAATGGCAGAATTTCACTAGTATATGACCTTTTTCTGGGAATGTTAAACTGGTAAGGCAAAAATGCCTCAAGTAAGCATGCAACAACTTCAGTAAACATACTGCACATGAAGACCCTCCCAAGTGCACCAGCAGGCACTGTGCATGTGGACAGCCTGCCCCAAAAGAAAAATCAAGGGAGGAGAATGGCAAACCCCCAAACCATGCCAATGTAGAAAACCCCCAAGTGAAGGGATGAACAAGGCACTTGGATCTTTCAAGTCACCCACTTAGCCGTCTTCCAAGAGTATTTTGCTTGCTTTCATTCCTGCTCTAAAACTTTTTAATAAGCTCTCACTCTTACTCTAAAACTCACCTCAATCTCTCCCTCTGCCTTAAACTTACTTCTTCCCCTAAATCACATTCTTTCCTCTGAGGTTAGGACCGAGTTGCTGCAGACCCATATGGATTCACTGCTGTTAACAAAAGCACTTGAGCTGTTTACCAAAAATGTTTGGTTCTTCCTCTCTTTTGATTCATACTAGAGGTGTACTTTTCTTGCCTGGAGAAAAGTATTTGCTTTGACTAATGAAATGTAAACTCAAAGAACCAATATACAAGTAATCATATTCTCTGCCCCTGCTGTTGTGATCAGAGAAAAACATGTTGAGGAGAAACATTCATTAGCCAATGACAACAATAAAAAGAGACCACTTGCTGATGCATATTAGATATGTAGATATGAAAAGTAAAGAAAAAAATGAAAGTTTAAGGGTTTGTTCCTGCAGCATTCCCTATCCTTTCATGGCTGATGTATTTAGAAAAAAATAATTTAGTAAATATCTTCTTCTAAAAGTCCTCTAGACAATTGTTAAATAAAAATATTATTTAATGATACATTAAAACATGGTAAGAAAGACCTTATTCAGGACCACTGCAATAGGTATAGAAATCATTGCAATGAGGTCTTGCAGTTGGAGAGAGATATTGGACTCAACTAAAAATAAAGCATGGGCAAGTGGGACTTTATAACCAAGGAGCAGGGTCAGGGTCACTGGATGGAAAATTACTAGGAGGAAACATCAGAGATTAGGGGAATTCTGGCTAAAACACGCTAATACGATTGTTGCTGAAGACAAGTCAGGGTGATCAGACATCACCTAAGGGGTGGTGCAGGATGAGAAACCTGATGAGTTTTCAAGATAGATCATTCATCAAAGGTAGAGGAGTTCTTGGTAAAGTGATATAGTATGGTTCTTTGTTAAAAAGTGATTTTATGAGGAAGTATACAGATGAGCCTAGGAGAAGATTCAGAAGCCTGATCAAGTTTGGCCAGGCAAAGAATCTTTGTCAGTCTGCACTATTGTTCAGAAGAAGAAGCATTCTTCTTTCTTTTGTATAAGTTCATTTTCTCATTTGGTCACCTTTTGTTTATTAAGTACCACTTGAATTATCTGTTGGAACTTGGTAGTAGACAATATGTAAAAATATGTACTGGACAATATATGTTGTCAGGCCTTTAATTAGGGGCATTTAATTTCTATGCAATTTCTAGTGTACTCATCACAGTTATTGTAAAATACTGCTGATTTTTTTTTTTGTTTAATGCCTTCATGGTAATACAAAGTAAGAGTGTTCATAATGCACTGAACTAATTCAGAGGTGTCTGTCTAATCTTTTGGCTTCCCTGAGCCACACTGGAAGAAAAAGAATTGTCTTGGGCCACACACAAATTACACTAACGTGAATGACAGCTGATGAGCTGATAATAAAAAATCACAAATAAATCTTATAATGTTTTAAGGACATTTACATGTTTGTGTTGGGCCACATTCAGAGCCAACCTGGGCCCCATGTAGCCTGTGGGCTATGGGTTAGACAAGCTTGAATTAGTTTGTTTTGAAAAAATAAAAGAAGAACTCTGAAATTGATAAGAATTTGTCATCACATGATCTGCAGTAACTTTCATTTTTGAGAATTTGTCTTATATGGAAAAATCTAAATATAGGTATTCTGATATATTAAATCTCATTGTTAGCAAGATTGATAAGACTATTTAGACAATAATTATCATGTCTTTTTGATCTTTTTTTTTATTTTAATGCCAGACTGGAGGCATGTTTATTCAGCATTTTAAGTTTGACCTAAAGTGATAAGGAGGAGACTGATGACATGTCCCTTGTAGCAGTCTCCAGTTTACTGAGGAAGCAGCATAACATTGTTATTCACTACTGTTACTACTCAGAAAAAAAAAATGAAGACACTTAAGCAATATGCATAAGCAGCTTCTTTCTTTGAGGTATTACAGTGGTGTTTCAGTGGGTGGTAACATCTTTTATCAAGTCCTCCTGAGTAAATTGTCCTTCTTTTGTAATATGTTTGACTCCCCGTAGCTTTGAGATAATTCAGAAAATGTAAGCCATAATTTTCATTTGTAATGTGTAAGCATTTGAATTTCCTGAGTCAGGAAGTTAAAACCACATTTTAAGGACAAACGATTTTTAAAAAAATCACCATCCTGAAGTAGTTCTGTGTGTGTGTATATATGTCAAAGTCCAAATTTCAGATGTCAATAAAATATTTAAGGTTAAGCTAAAACAGTGATTACTTATTCCTAGGTAGGTTACTAAAAAATTTACTGTAGTTTAATAATACTTTTCAGGGTACATTATATCATGAGATTTCCATGCCTCCATAAATTCATAATATTCTCATTTTACTGGAAACTCATGTATAATTAAGACTGGTGTAAAGGCCTTCTTTGTGTAAAACTTCGAACCTCAGTCTTTTCACACCAAGGCTGTGACTTTTAAGTTTCAAAACCCAACCAAACACAAATACAGTTTCCTTGGAAGTTGGATGGAATAAGATAAGTTGAACTGCATTGTAATCATAATGCATCATTAAATGTGAATGAATCTGTTTGTATTTGTGTGAGGGAGAGTGGTAAATTTATATTGTAAGCAAATGTTCTCTGGAAAGGAATTTGGACGAAAGAGACTTTATTTCAGTGAACAGTTTTCAAACCATGGATATACAGCCTGTGGTTTCAAGCTAAGACACATTTCAGAGAACAAAGAGAGGGTTAGGGTTTTATAGCTATAGTTCCCACCCAGGTTCCCAATAAGCTGTCTTCATCCAAATGAAGGATAGATCCTTGCTTAATTCTGATTGGTCAAAACAGATGAGTCATGACTGTTCTATACACTGATTGGTTGATTCAGGTGAGCTCTGATTGGTTGATTTCCAAGCCCCAAACCAGAAGTTTCTGTCAGATGTTTCTTTCAAAGGGCTAGTGCTAAAGGGCCAGTGTAGGGATGGCATAGGGGGCAAAAGGAAGTAGTTCCAGCTGTAGTTTATCTTGGCACCAAGAACAGGATCTGTTTTTGCTTTATTGTTGTGTTAGTCCGTTTTCACGCTGTTGATAAAGACATACCTGAGACTGGGTAATTTATAAAGAAAAAGGGGTTTAATGGACCCACAGTTCCACGTGGCTGGGGAGGCCACCCCCATGATTTAATTATCTCTCACCGGGTCCCTCCCTCAACACTTGGGGATTATGGGAGCTACAGTTCAAGGTGAGATTTGGGTGGGGATTCAGCCAAATCATATTACTCTACACCTGGCACCTCCCAAATCTCATGTCCTCACATTTTAAAACCAATCATGCCTTACCAACAGTCCCTCAAAGTTTTAACTCATTTCATCATTAACTCAAAAGCTCACAGTCCAAAGTCTCATCTGAGACAAAGCAAGTTCCTTACACCCATGAGCCTGTAAAATCAAAAGTAAGTTAGTTACTTCCTAGATAAAATGGGGGTACAGGCATTGGGTATGAATATATATATATATACATTCCAAATGAGAGAAATTGGCAAAAACAAAGGGTCTAAAGGCCCTATACAAGTCTGAAATCCAGTGGGGCAGTCAAATCTTAAAGCTCCAAAATGATCTTCTTTGACACCATGTCTCACATCCAGGTCATGCTGATGCAAGAAGTGGGTTCCCATGGTCTTGGGCAGCTCCACCCCTGTTGCTTTGCAGGGTACAGCCTCCCTCCTGGCTGCTTTCACAGTTTGGCCTTGAGTGTCTGCTGCTTTCCAGGCATGCAGTGCAAACTATCAGTAAATCTACTTTCTGGGTTCTGGAGGACAGTGGCCCTCTACTCACAGCTTCACTAGGCAGTGCGCCAGTGGCAACTCTTTGTGGGGACTTCAACCCCACACTTCCTTTCCATGCTGCCCTAGCAGAGGTTCTCCATGAGGGCCCTGCCCCTTCAGCAAACTTTTGTCTGGACATCCAGGCATTTCCATACATCCTCTGAAATCTAGGTGGAGGTTCCCAAACCTCAGTTCTTGACTTCTGCGGACCCATAGGCTCCACACCATGTGAAAGCTACCAAGGCTTGGGGCTTGCACCTTCTGAAGCCGCAGCCTGAGCTATGTCTTCACTCCTTATAGCCATGGCTGGAGCAGCTGGGACACGGGGCACCGAGTTCCTAGGCTGCACACGGAAAGGGGGGTCCAGGACCTGGCCCATGAAACCGCTTTTTTCTCCTAGGGCTCCTGGCCTATGATGGGAGGGGCTGCCACAAATGTCTCTGACACACCCTGGAGACATTTTCCCCATGCCTTGGTGATTAACATTTGGTTCCTCATTACTTATGCAAATTTCTGCAACTGGCTTGAATTTCTCCTCAGAAAATGGGTGTTTCTTTTCTACTGCATTATCAGGCTGCAAATTTTCTGAATTTTTATGCTCTGTCTCACTTTTAAAACTGAATGCTTTTAATGGCACTGAAGTCACATCTTGAATGTTTTGCTACTTAGAAACTTATGTCACCAAATAACCTAAATCATCTCCCTCAAATTCAAGGTTCCACAAATCTCTACGTCAGGGACAAAATGCCACCAGTCTCTTTGATAAAACATAGCAAGGGTTACCTTTACTCCAGTATCCTCATCTCCATCTGAGATCACTTTACCCTGGATTTCATTGTCCGTATCATTATCAGCATTTTGGTCAAAGCCAATGAAAAAGTCTCTAGGAAGTTCCAAACATTCCCACCTTTTCCTGTCCTTCTGAGCCCTCCAAACTGTTCCAACCTCTGCCTGCCACCCAGTTCCAAAGTTGCCTCCACATTTTTTGATATCTTTACAGCAGGACCCCACTCTACCAGTGCCAATTTACTGTGTTAGTCTGTTTTCACACTTCTGATAAAGACATACGTGAGACTGGGTAATGTATAAAGAAAAAGAGGTTTAATGGACTCAGTTCCATGTGCCTGGGAGGCCTCACAATCTTGGTGGGAGGCAAAAGGCATGTCTTACATGGAAGCAGACTAAGAGAGAATTTAATCAAGTGAAAGTGATTTCCCTTTATAAAAGCATCAGATCTCATGAGACTTATTCACTACCACAAAAACAGTATGGGGAAATGCCATGATTCAATTATCTCACACCAGCTCCCTCCCACAACACGTGGGAATTATGGAAGCTACAATTCAAGATGAAATTTGCATGAGGACACACCCAAACCATATCAATTGTAGAAAGGAAGATCCTGTGATGCTTTGACATCTTTCTGAGAACACAGAGTATGCGACCACTTTGTCACTCAGGCATGGCCACCTGGTTTTGTTGGTTTTGTTTTAACTTACTTCAGTTAGTCATAGGGAGTCCATTTTGTCTGTCAGCCAGGGACATGTTTTAACAGTATGAAACAGAAAAAATGATTAGAGTGTTGGGACTTTCTCTTAGGAGCAAAGTTAATGTTGCCTGCTCAAATCCCAGTCCCTCTTGGGTGGACAAAAATTGCATAGCCTTACTTAGTCCTCCACTTTTTACTTTAGGAAATTAGATTAGAGGAGACACACAAACAATGACAATAACATAGAATTTTCAGCAGCTGATGGCACAGTAGCCTGAGCTTAATCAGAGACAAGCTTAAGGCTGTCTAAAGATTGATAAGGGCAAAGTTGATGCTGCTTATTGGAACTAAAACACAGACTCACAGTTATATTCAATGTGAACAAATGGGGGAAACCCAAAGAGAGAAGAGAGAGGTACAGAAAAAGACACAAAGATAAGGGAAGATACTTCAAAAAAAAGTGTCAAAGAACAAGAGAATTTACAGAGATAAAGAGAAAATCGTAATTATCTACATTTCCGCCACTTCTCAATTACAGGCCCATTGAGGCACTTTTGTACTAAGTCTCTGTCTTTAGGTCACCAGAAAATATATATACACGTGTGTGTGTGTGTGTGTGTGTGTGTGTGTGTTCTTTAGAAATTATCTTCTTTTGAACTGAATTTCTAGTCATCACAGCTGAAAAGAGAATATTACAAACAATGCTTACAACATAGGTGTGAAAGGCTGGAGTCTTTCCCTCTTTCCTAAAAATGATGAATGACCAAATCTATCAGCTGAGAAGAAATAGTGCTAATAACCCCATATTCCATTTCTAGAGCATCTTTAACTGTAGGATTCAACACCTCCTTTCAGAGAGCTGCCGTTTTATCTAAACTGGTGCAAACCCATATTAGTAAAGGGGATTCTGGGGGGATGGAATCATCTTGGGAAACACAGAGTTGCTAGAGCCTCAACATTCCTTCTCTCTCCATTATTGAATGTGAATGTGTGTGGCGTGGATGTTACAGCTGTCTCCTACCCTGCTTCCCATATCTGTGATAGTGATAAATTGCTTAAACTGCCTTATGCCCTTATTTTACTAAATGGAGAATTGTCCCTTATTTGACAGTTGTTGTCACTGAACTGTCAGAAAGTAGTGAGTGGACCTTTCTTAATGGAGGCCAGGTGTTTGGGGCGTGTGGGTATTAAATCATTTAACCATAATTGGATTTTTCTCATTAATACAGTGCAGGTAGTCAGCACTTAAATTCTTATCACCCAAAAAAGCCAATGTTAGTTTGTATTTTAAAGAGAATATCCACGACTATCAGAAAGGGGGCAATGTCCTGGCTTTAGAAATGTAAGGTTGCTTAAGTAAATGGGCATTGCTCTGTTCCCAAACTTTTCTGCCTCATTGGTGGAACAAATCTCTAAGAATGAAAGAAGAGAAAAATAAATAGCAAGGACAGAGAGTGCAGTCACTCTTAGACTTACGTAGTACAGTGGTTTCTCAAAAGTAAAACCTGAATCATCTGCATCAGGATCACCTGGTAGGTTTGTTAAAAATGCCGATTCCCAAGAATTTCGGGAATTTTGGGTAATAGATGCTAGGAATCTACAGTCTTAATGATACATGCCTATGATTCTTGTGCATTCTAAACTTTAAGAATGTTCTAAGTATTGTTTTGTTTTTTTCATGGCTTTATCATGTATTTATTTATTAAAAAATCTACTTTTTTCCCTTGCTTAATTTAGCTTTTTTTTTTTTAAACTTTTTAGGTAAACACTTCAGAAATATCATTAAAGCAAGACTTTTACTTAGGGTTGATCTAATCCAGTATTCTTTTTACTAGAGGAAAAAGAAGACTATCATAAAGATACCAAAGATATCTATATTTTGCTTCTAATTTTCTTGATTATTATTCTACATTTTAGAGACAGAATGAATACTCAATAATTGCTTAATTAATAAATTAAATTTAATACAGTGGCTTTCAATATGCAACATTTCAGAAGCACCATTGATGATAAAGTATATCCTATTCTTATATTTTATAGAATACAAGTGCTAACAAAATGAAAATCTAGGCCAGGGATGGTGGCTCACATCTTTAATCCCAGAACTTTGGGAGGCAAGGTGGGCATACCCTTGAGGTCAGGAGTTCGAGACCAGACTGGCCAACATGTTAAAACCCCATCTCTACTAAAAGTAAAAAATAAAAATTAGCCAGATGTGGTGGCACATGCCTGTAGTCCTATCTACTCAGAGGCTGAGGCAGGAGAATCGCTTGAACCCAGGAGGCAGAGGTTGCAGTGAGCTGAGATTGCACCACTGCACTCAAGCCTGGATGACAGAGCAAGACTGCATCCATCTCAATAAATAAATAAATAAATACATACATATAAAAAGTAAAATTAAAATCTAAGAATCTATAAAATCTCTAAAGGATAGATTTAAGATGATAAGAATTCAGTGCAATTGAAAGTGCTCTGAAGATCAATAAAGTCACTAATAACTATTATTTTTAATAATTCTACAAACGTCCAATGAAAACTGTCAACAACAAAAAAAGTATTGCAAAGATTCATTAAGTTGCTTAGCTAGACATTTAAGGATAGGTTATTTCTGCATCACAGACTGAGACCCTTGAGGAATCTGTCAAGCAAAACAGAAGATCCCAAATAAGTGTTTTTTGGAAAAAATAATGTGAGATCACATCAAAGACTTAAGTCTAAATTACATTTAAGAGGTTTCACTGAGTAAAGTTTGCAAAGATTAGTACACAGAGAAATAAGTGATGGGATATTTAAGCAAGAGAAAAATAAGAGCAAATATCAGGTGTGAAGAGCCATGGCCTGTTTGGAGAAGAGAGAGGCCTACAGTGTAAACACATAGAGACAGGAATAATCATGTATCAAAGTGCTTTCAGCTGCAGAAAATTTACTATATATATATTATATATATAATATAGATTATATTATATTATATATAATAATATATAATATAGATTATATTATATTATATATAATAATATGTAATATAGATTATATTATATTATATATAATAATATATAATATAGATTATATATATATTATATATATGTAAAAAACTAAATTAAAGATGATTTAACCAAAAAGGTAATTTATTATCTATCATAATAAGTTTTTCAGAGATGGGGTAATATCAAGATTTGCTCAGCAACTCAAAGACAACACAGATCCGGGCTCTTTTTATTTTATACTCTGCTATCACTAGCATGTTAGCTATTTCTCCGTAATTAATTTTATCAATAGTCCCCAAATGGCTGCTGAAGTTCTAAATTTTATATCCTGACAGAAACTTCTATAACCTGAAAAGGGATTTTTAGCTTCTCTCTATCTTTGCAATTAAGAGAAATTTTTTCATTACTCAAAATGGAATCACATGTACATTTGCAAAATACTTCCTGGTAAAAGAGAATGGAATTACTGTTTTTAAGCTAGACTATTCAAGACTCATCTCATTTAGAGACATAGCCTCCTCTGAGGCACAATGTCACCAGATATGTGAGCTAATTTGGGGTTCTGAGTCCAGAGATGTGGTAGTTTTGTGGTAAGACCACAGTATCTTCCATATTTATGCTAGAAACCAATATATATTTCTATATTATTGAGTCACTAAAATGTAATAACCTCATAACAACACATTAGGATAAGTTTAACAGTGTAAACAGCAATTATTAACTAAGGTTTTGCCCATATTCAACTTACATGTTTAGATTCAATCATTTTCACACTCCTGTGTCATAATGCCAGCCCCACTCATAGGTATAAGCAAAGTTGAATAGGCAAAAAATTAGGGAAAATGTCAAATGTCTGTTTTTAATTGTGTTGTTCATTTTCATTTTCTGTATTTATATTTTAAATTGTTACTTTTAAATGACTGCATCCAAGAACGATTTGCAAGGCCCATTACATGAGGAGCACAGAATGAATCATTTAAAAATATATATTAATTCTGCAAAATGTACAGTGTGTGTGTCTTTATGCATCCCCGAGAGAAAGAGAGATAGAGAGACAAAGAAAGAAAGAAAGGAGACAGATCACAGCTCTAGACATGGAAGGCTAAACTACACACATTTCATTGATTGAGCCTGAGCTGAGAGATTTGAATCAGCTTTTTTTTTTTCATTGAGTTTAACTTCTTATGTGACTCTTAGGAATACACTTACACTAAGTTGAGGGTGTGAACACTCTCTCTCTCTTCCTCTCTCTCTCTGTTTCTCTCTCACATACACAGTTTTTTTCTTCTTCCACACTTCCCCTTCCCTTTCTCTTCTCCTTCCCCTTGCCTTTTCCTCTCATTTTTCTTTCCCTCTCTTTCCTTCCTTTTGCAGCAATCTAATGCAGATTCAAACTAAATATTTCACAAAAAAATCACAAGCACAAATACACAAGGCAACTGAACAACCACAAGACAATTTCAGTGAACAAAATAACACTGAGTTATTGAGCCTACTAGAAACAATTTTATCATTCTTTAAAATGGCACTAAAATACAAAAGTGACATAAGGTCTTCTTAAGAATAAGAGATTTATCTTATAAATTATACTCCCTTAAGGTGTGAATACAGTTACACTGAGGGCTGCTTATACCAGAGCACTAGTGTTGCCCTTATGACTTCCATGTTACCAGGAAAAAACTCAGTCCTAGACAGGGCAGAGAACTTAACTAATGAGCAGAAGTTGTGGAACCTAAAAGAAAAAAATGATATATAACCTGGATTTTTTTTTCCACAATAATGAACTGATTCAAGTTCACGCAGTCATGCTCTGCATAATGACATTTTGGTCAATGATATATCACATAGCAAATGGTGGTCTCATAAAATTATAATGTTGTATTTCTACTATACCTTTTCTATGTTTAGATTACATTTATAGAGAAAATACTGACCATTGTGTTACAATTGCCTATAGCATTCAGTACAGTGACATGCTGTACAGGTTTGTAGCCTAGGAGCCATAGGCTATATCACTTGTCCTAGTATGTAGTAGGCTGTACCATTTTAGGTTTGTGAATCTACACTCTATAATAGTCACACAATGACAAAAATCACCTAACAACACATTTCTCGGAATGTACCTCATCACTAAGTGACTCGTAACTGTATTTTTTTTTTTGTATTTAATGCCAGATAATACTTAAAAATACTTAAAATACAGAATGGATATCAATGTTGACAATTGATACTATGTAGAAATAACAGATTTCAGTGTTTGAATGCTTTGGTGTTAAAGAACACAGTGAAAAGATAATGTGGTAACAGGGAAGTTTTTCAGATACCTGGACTTTGATTTAGAACTATTCCAAGACTGTTGATGAATAATACTAGTAATATATTAAAAACTATGACAAGAAACAAATTTTCTGGTTATTATTACCAAAGGACTCTGGGGAAACCCATTGATCAAAATTAAATGTTTGGAAGTATGATAACAATATTGACTCTGAAGCTTATAGTCATTCTATTTTCAGATGATAAGCATGTCATCTCTAACTTCCAAGAGGATTAATCCAAAATATTGAGTTATTAATTCATCTTACATTCAAATAATCTGAAGTCTGTATCTTTAATATTTGCAGACATCCAATGACACCTTTGAAATTCCCCTAATGTTGACTGGAAATATAGTGTTAAGGAAGAGGCTCAACTATGAAGATAAGACTCGCTACTTTGTCATAATCCAAGCTAATGTGAGTATTCAATTTCTTTTAAATTTCTTCTGTGAATTTATGAAGTAAAAAACTCATCCAAAATGTATCAGATACTCTTGGAGAGCTCTGTGCCACTCACTTCTTCATCAGGGCACTCCTGCCCTTGGTGTTTATATATAATACTCTTATAGATGGAGAAAGGGATAGAATAGGTTGTTTTTATTCACTGTATTCTTTGACCTCTAAATTATTCATATGTATTATCCATTATCCAACCTTTTTAGACTATACTGAAATATTTTTCAAAGTAGGATCCTGCAAATTAACAGCAGCAGAATCACCTTGGGTGTGTATTAAATATACATATTTCTGGACCCTACCTCAGATGTTCTGAATAAAAATCTCAGATGATGGAAGTGGAATATCTGCATTTTTAATTAGCTCTTCAGGGAATTCTAAGGTACACTAAAGGCAAAGAATCATTGCCTAATTGGTCGTGTTCTTCCTCATGGCTATCATTTATTGAGTAATTGTTCACTAGATATCAGCTAATATTCCCATAACTGAAGTTTATGCTAATGTATGTAGATAACAATAACAGGACATCCAAACATATGCTTGTAAAACACAGACATGGTTTATATACTTATAAAACATAGATATCCTTACATGCTTATATAACATAGACATGCTTATATGCTTATAAAACATAGACATTTATTATAGTTATTATTAGTGGAAGTTTAATAAAATTTCTGGAATTATGCAGCTCAATGTTTGGTTTGACAGTTCAATTATATCACCAGGGACTTAGGTTCCTTCCATCCTTATACTTCCCTCTTCTCTGGAATGTGGTTATTTTCCCAATGCCTTATCAGCTGGGAGGTATTTGTGTACCATGGCCATAAGCATCACAACTGCATTTCAAGTCTGAATGCAACAGGCAGAAAGGGTAGCAAAACTAGGATTTCTTTTACGTTTATTGATTCTTCCTTCTTTTATCTGGGAAGATACTCTCTTCAGAGTTTTCTCCCATCCAACATCTCCTTCTAGACTTGTATCACCTGTGTCAGCATAATAGGAACGAAGGTTGAGGAAGTCCATATGTGTCAAAGGGATATGCGGTATTCACTTCTGAATTATACTATGTATAGTTCATATCCTGAGACTGGGCACACTGATGACCTGAAAACATTTTTCTTTTCTTAGCAAGATGAATGGGAGTACCCCTTGAGAAAAAAGCTAGAAGGGGAGGTCACATAAAAAGTCCCATATTAAGTGACAAGCTTACGTTTTTGAAATAACCGTTAAGAAATGAGGCATAAAGATATAAAAAGTATGGAGAAATCTTGAATGCATACTTATAAGCAAAATAAACCATTAAGAAAAGGCTACATACTGGATGATTCCAATATATAACATTCTGGTAAAGGCAAAGCTGGGGAAATAGTATAAAGATCAGTGGATGTCAGGGATATGGTGGTAAAGGCAGGTAGAAAGGGATTAATAGAAGGATCATGAAATATTTTTAGGTCAGTGAAAATACTCTGGATGATACCATGAAGTTGGATAGATATCATTATACATTTGTCCATTCCCATAGAATGTACAACACCAACGGTGATCTTTAATGTAAAGGATGAACTTTGGTGATTATCATTGTTCAATGTAGATTCATCAATTGTAACCAATGTACAACTTTGATTAGGGATGTTGTAAGTGGGGAGGATGTGCACGTGTGGAGACATGGTGTATATACCTTCCTCTCAATTTTTCTATAAACCTAAAACTGCTCTAAATTAATAGCCTTTTCTTTTTTAAAGCAGCTATACTCTGAAGCCATCCTGTGCCTTTAATGACTCCTAAGCGTTGTAATCTTGCTCATACAGCAGAACAGATAGATAGCAGGGGATGCTAAAAGGAAAATAACCTCAATTAGCTGTTCTGAAGAAGTTAACATGAAAAAATGTGCCACAAACTTGTCATTTTCTTGCCTTTCTTAGAGATATATCACCTGACACAGAATGTGTATGTGTATAGATAGATACCTAGATAGATATATAATTAGGGATATGTAGATAGAAATATGTAGATAGACATATAGATCTAATTTTTGAAGCTAAGTTTGGAAGCTTTTATTTATATTTCTTCAGATTTTAAAAATGATTTATTATTTTATATATTATAATTATATATTATAAGATGTTATATGTATTATGTGTGTGTCTGTATGTGTGTATATATTTTAATGTCATGTAACATAGAGCAGAGTGAAAACTGTAGATATGGGGAAAAGTAAAATGTATTAGGGAGGGCCACTCAGAGTTTTTCAAAAACACAGAAAATTCTTTTTTCTATTTAACTGAAGATGTGAAGAAAAGGTAGAATGTCTTTTTTATGAAGTCAGATTGCTGTGGAAGGTATTTGTAAGCTAGTTTTTTTATCATGCAATTAAAAAGATATAATTTTTTAATAGAAATGCAAGGTAAAAGATTCTGAATTGGTGTCTAGTTTTAAAATATTTATAAAGACATCTGGAACAACTTCTATCCAACATGATGGACTACTCATCACTGAGGTAGTGACAAGTTTTTAGCATTTCAGGGATAAAGTTATAAAACAGAAGTACATATGTGAATCATCAAAAGGAAGGAATAGCATTAGGAAGAAGTCGAATGAACATTTGAATTTAAATGCAATAACAGTTTTTGTTATAAACTTAAGTCATACAGTACACAATGAAATGTTAAATATAGAAAGTTATAACATTTTAAGCATTTTTAAAAGTTTTAAGAACAAATAATTTTAATAGCTACATAATGTAAGATAATAATAATGGATCACCATTGATTCAACAATACTCCGTTTTTGTTTATTTGATCATTTGTTTTTGGCACCAAATTGATATCTACCCTCATGATGTTCAAGAGAGGCAGTGAGTGTAGTGAATTATGTCACCTGAGTTCAAATCTCAGTTCAGCCATTTACTGGCTGTGTGATTTGGGGCATGCTTTGTATGTTAATTTCCTAACCAGTAAAATGGGTATATTAATAAAACATACCACATTGTTCTGGTTACAATTAGCTAGTTAGCAAACAAAAAAGTACTTAGACTAATGCTTGAAATATATTGAGACATTATTACAGTATTATATAAATCACTAAAATACTGGTACTTTACTGTTTAAAAATCAGTAATTAAAAATGGAATTGCTTTGAGAAAATTATATGTATGCATATATATGTGTATATGTGTATGTGTATTTGTACATATATATTCACATACTTTTTAATCTTAGTAGATAATGCTATATTATTTTTCAAAGTGTTGTGACATATCACACTTCCACAAATGATAAAGAAGGATGCTCATTTTCACAACATTTTAAATCTGTAACTTAAAACTGTGGGTTGTTGGAGGTGGAAAGTCAGCTGAGACTTGCTTGAGGGCCAATTGTGGGTTTCTCTTTCAAACTCTGAGTTCAGTGATCTCACATTTGCAGCCATGCTGGGAGCATTTACAGTATGGAAAGTGCCAGTGCTACAAATCAGGGCTACTTATCTGATAGCTGGTTGTTAATCATTAACTGTTTTGTATATACCAATAGTAACATAAGTCTAACATATCTTTGTTTGTATATGATAATGATATCCATATATCTAAAATGTACCTCCATTTTTTTTACATTTATCTTGTTTGTTTGTTTGCTTATTTATTTATTTATTTTGAGACAGTCTTGCTCTGTCACCCAGGCTGAAGTACAGTGGTGCGATCTCAGCTCACTGCAACCTCCGCCTACGGGGTTTAAGTGATTCTCATGCCTCAGCCTCCCAACTAGCTGGGACCACAAACGTACCACCACACCTGGATTTTCTTTTTGGGAGGGGAGGAGAGTATTGCTATGTTGCCCAGGCTAGAGTGCAGTGGCATGATCTCAGCTTACTGCAACCTCAGCCTCCCATGTTCAAGCTATTCTCGTGCCTCAGCCTCCTGAGTAGCTGGGATTACAGATGCGTGCAACCATACCCAGCTAATTTTTGGATGTGTAGTAGAAACGAGGTTTCAGCATGTTGGTCAGGCTGGTCTCAAACTCATGGCCTCAAGCAATTCACTCACCTCAGCCTCCCAAAGTGTTGGGATTACACGCATGAGCCACTGCACCTGGCAGTGGTTTTTTATATTGTGTTGGTGGTATGCACAATGTAAGTCATGTACATTAAGCACCAATATATTATCTTGAAGTCATAAGGAGAATTAAGATATGAGCAATCAATTTTGACTTTAAAGTATATGGCCTCTAAAAGAATAATTACAGGTATCATGACAAATTATTGAACATTACCCAGCTTTGACCTGGTTTTGCTTATGTTAAAAATATTTGATTTTCGAAGAGAATCCTTCAAATTACATGTAGTTTGGAGGTTTCTTTTTATCCGTGTTTACATGTTATGATCCGTAATTAAGGTAATTGAGTTTTGACTGACCCATATTAGAAAACCCTGTCACATATTTTTTTGAGAATATTTGCAATATTGTCACCCATGCTATTGACTTCAAATATAAATACATAATGAAGGAATGATTAATTCCAGACAAAAATTTTGGGGGTAGATCTAGAAAGATCAAATGGGTTTTCTTTTTGTTGAAATTTACTACATATTATTATAACCTCAACTTTGATATGTTACCCTAATTCACATAGAATCAAAGTAATCTCTTTACATATCATTTTTCTTCAAAGCAAACTCTCTTTTATATTATTGTTATCCTGAGTGAAATATATAAGAACACTTTTGTAATCAAGATTTCTTAATTACCAGAAAGAAAAAAGTTTATATTTACTTATTTTATAATTTATTTATTTATTTTGAGATGGGGTTTTGCTCTGTCACCCAGGCTGTAGTGCAGGGGGGTGATCTCGGTTCACTGCAGCCTTCGCCTCTCGTGTTCATGATTCTCCTAACTCAGCCTCCCGAGTAGTTGGTATTACAGGCATGTGCCACCACTCCCAGCTAATTTTTTGTATTTTTAGTAGAAACGGAGTTTCACTGTGCTGGACAGGCTGGTCTGAAACCATTAACAACTTCAAGTGATCAGCCCACCTTGGCCTTCCAATGTTCTGGGATTACAGGCATGAACCACTGTGCCCGGCCTAAATTTAATTTAGAATCATGGCAAGAATAATTTATAATTTCTAAATTATTTTATGAATAGCAAGGGTGTTGTATATTTCTCAAATAGCAAAATCTAGAGAAGGGATGCTAGCTATCTTTCCTAACAAGATATAATTCCTAAAATTATAATATTACTATTTCTTTATTAGCTCAATTTTTTATCTTTATGGACAGAAATATTCAAATAAAATGTGTAAGCATTGCAAACATATGTGTTTGTATAGGTAAAATTAATTTTCTATATTTTATATTTCAACCTTGTAAACAACTTTTCAGAAATAACCTCTACCCTGACCTTCCCTCACTTCTGCTTCCTACTGATGTGTGGAATTAGTGTTAATTGTAACCCCATTGTTTTAACTCTGCAAGTTTCTTGGGCATTTTCTGAGGAGTGAGAGTGAAATGGGAGGATAGCAGGTGATGGTTTATGGGACCTAATATTTACTGAGTGTTTGGCTACTAAAGATACATGAGCATTTGGGGCTATAAATGATAATATAATTCTGTCTACTGGTTTGCATAAAAAATAAGAAATATTAGGCAAATATCTCAAACAAAAAATGTTTACAAGACAATAGAATACCCAACTTCCTCTGGTTAATGTTCATAGAAGCATTATTTTTTTCCTCAACTTTTATTTTAAGCACAGGGAGTACATATGTAGGTTTGTTGCATGGGTGTATTGCACTCAGGTGGTCAGCATAGTACTCAATGGGTAGTTTTTTGATCCATTCTCTCTCCTTGCCCCAGCAGTTCACAGTCTACTGTTCCCAGGTTTATTTCCCTGGGCACTTGGTGTTTAGCTCCCATTGAAAAACTGATATTATGTAGTATTTAGTTTTCTGTTGCTGCATTAATTCACTTAGGATTATGGCCTCCAGCTTCATCCATGTTGCTTCAAAGGACATGATTTCATTCTTTTCTATGGCTTTGTAGTATTCCGTGGTGTATATGCACCACATTTTCTTTATGCAATCCACTATTGATGGGCACCTAGGTTGATTCCATGTTTTTTGCTATTGTGAATAGCATGGCAATTAATGTAGACATGCATGTGTCTTTTTGGTAGAATGCACTATTTTTCTTTGTGTATATACCCAGTAATGGGGTTGGTAGGTTGAATGGTAGCTTGGTTTTAAATTCTTTGAGAAATCTTCAAACTGCTTTCCACAGTGTCTGAAATAATTTACATACCCACCAACAGCATATAACCATTTCCTTTTCTCTGCAGCCTCACCAGTATATGTAATTTTTTGACTTTTTAATAATAGCCATTCTAACTGGTATGAGATGATATCTCATTATGGTTTTGATTTGCATTTCCCTGATGATAAATGCTGATGAGCATGTTTTCATATATTTGTTGGCTGCATGTATGTCTTATTTTGAGAAGTGTCTGTTCATGTCCCTTGCCCCTATTTTAATGGGATTGTTTGTCTTTTGCTTCTTAAATTGTTTAAGTTCCTTATAGATTCTGAATATTAGACCTTTGTCAGATGCATAGTTTGCATAGCTTTTCTCCCATTCTTTCCATTTTCTGTTTACTGTATTGACAGTTTATTTTAGTGTGCCGAAGCTCTTTAGTTTAGGTGCTACTTGTCAGTTTTTGTTTTTGTTGCAATTGCTTTTCAGGATATCATCATTACGAAATCCTTGCTAAAGCCAATGTCAAGAAGAGTTTTAATAGGTTTTCCTCTAGGATTTTTATAGCTTGAGGTATTACATTTAAATCTTTAATTCATCTTGAGTCAATTTTTGTATGTCTGGTAGAATTCAGCTGTGTGTCTATCTGGTCCAGTGCTTTTTTTGGTTGGTAAGTTTCTTATTACTAATTTAATATCACAGCTTAATATTCATCTGTTCAGGGTTTCAATAGTTTCCTGATTCGATCTTGGAACATTATGTGTTTCCAGAAACATATCACTTTACTCTAGATTTTCTAGCTTGAGGTTGAGGAGACACAATTCTGTTCAGAGTACTGGTTGAACTTGTTTAACTTTTTAAAAGATATTCTTGCTTGCCAACTAGAATCACAGTTTCCTAACTTAATGTAATATCCTGTTATTTTTAAATAATTGAAGTTAAATATATATTCTTATTTTTTAAAAAAGAAGAGAAATGCAGATGAAAATGGGAAAGGGAAGAAAGGAGATCTTCTTTGTGGATTTTAATATATATTAGATTATCACATAACGTAAATGAAAACATAATTAAATTATATGGAATGTTTATAGAAATAGTTATTTTTTATTTTTTACCACTCACAATTTAGAATGTTATTTCATTTACTCAGAAGAGCCTTGAGCAGTAGTATATTACTATAAAGATCAAAAGTGTAGGTTGTTTTGTTTTTTCTGTTTTTGTTGTTTTTGTTTTGATTTTTATCTCAATTGCTGAAGGATTATTTTTTAAATGGATATTTTAAGATCAAATCTGATTCCAAATTGGGAGAACATCATGAATTAGCATTACCATTATGGGCTCACAAGTTATGAGTGTGCATGAGACATATTTTTATATATTTTCCTATGTGATATGTGTTGGTGATAAAATGTGGGAGAATTCCCACGTGTGGAAACTGTTAGTAGATTTTGTTGCTACATCTCTGCTCACAATCATTTTGCCAGGATTATTTTTATTTCCCACTTAAAAATACAAATTTTAGAGCTCAACACTTTGTAAGCAATATCTTTCCCCAATATGAGAAAAAACTCCTATTATGTATTTTGGTATACACTTCCTGTAAATACACTATCTTTAACACACCAGTATCTATTCTATGGAGTAGTGACAATGACCCAAAGAAGCAGATAATAGTGAGAGATTTGATGCTGACAGACTGAAAGAAAACATAACATTAAAAAATTCAAATTTGTTTATTATAGTGATTTGATGATTACATATAAAGAAGGCTGAGTGACATGGAAGGGTAGAAATATTGCCTCTGGCATTTATATGCATGTATGTGTATATATGCATATATATGTGTGTTTATATCTGCATGCTACATTCATGTATCACATAAAATATTATAAATATTTAATATTTATTATCTATTTACTATTTTTATAAATTAAATTTAGATTAATTCAATCTTTTAAAACTTCATAAGCAATCATTATTTTAAATGGTGGGTTAAAGCCAGGCACATACCTATAGTCCTAGCTACTCAGAAGGCTGAGGTGCGAGGATTACTTGAGCCCAGGATTTTGAAGTCAGTATAGGCAATGTAGTGAGATTCTCATTTCTAAAATAAATAAATAAATAAATAAATATTTTATAAATAAAAAAATTTTCAAATATTAACTCCAGTGCCACAAGTAAATTTACAAATACATATTAAATATGTCATTTTATTAACTTATTTGTTATTGAGAAAAATGTCAAATGTAAAATCATTAATAAATGTAACAAAAGTTTACCACCCCTATTAAAGAAGCTTCCAGTTTATATATATATATTTAGAAATTTAAAGATTTGTTTTAGTTCTTAAACTTTAATATAACTTTAGAAATATGGAAGATGAGATTACTTAATGATTTAAAACACTGGATGATGCAACACAAAGGGAAATATATGTGAAAATATAACCTACTAATCTTTATGAGGTCACATTATCTTAACATTAGTAATTTTCAGTACTAAATGACTCTCTTAATAATGGGATGAGGAAACATGTCCTCATCATTTTTTTAAGACCGTCAGAAGCAGTGTATTGGAATCTGCCCCTTGGAAGCTACTCAGGATATGCTGACTGAACAAATCATTACATCATTTGTCTATTAATTCATATATTATAGACATAGCTATAACCCAATTAAATAAAAGATCAGTATTAAAAAAGTGGCAAGTTTGATGAGCTATTTTTTTTTAAAATTTAAAATATACACATACGCTTATTTTAAATTAATATTTTTCTACATGTTCAAAATTCATACATCTTAAGAATAATTTATAAAGTTAATTTGTGAACCACCAAAATTATCTCACATGCCACATGTTGCTCCTACTCTACTTTTCAACTGGCCTAGAGGTTGATATACATATGGGAGTGCATATACACAGCTCCTTAAACAGCTAAAGAAGAAGGTGTATATATTTAACACAATGAGAGGGAGGAGGCTTCTAAGGGAAGAAAAACTAGGTTTCTAGGAGTCAAAGGGGAGATTAAAATAGCTTGTGATCATGTTTATGTAGGTAAGAATAGATTTCCTTGTTTTTTCTTCATTTTCATAAACTTTCTTGGCAGAGGGAATTCATGGCAGCCTCACTCTCATAAGTATCTGCTTTTAGTGACATAAAAGAAGTTCAGAAAAGACTTCTTTCTGTTTGTTGAATCTCAAATGTCTTTAGGTTTGAATAATCTTTATAGTGCCTCTAGGGATCTGAGTGAGTTCCGAAACTTTGAAAATTTAAACATTTTGTGTTTTTTTAAGCTATAATTTTATCGCAGTCTGTCTTATACTGTATAAAAATATCAAAGAATCCTGGAACCACAGAGTTATTACATTCTAGACAAGGTTGTACTGACAAAATTCCACCAACAGAAATTCGTGTTTCCTAAAACTTTACCCTCAAGCATTGCTTTACAAGTTTTTATGAGCAACCAGACTGGGAATGAGCTTAACCAAAATGTACTATTAACCATGTTTAACAAGAGGGACTTTTTTTTTAATTGGAAGGCAAATATTAATGTCTGGGAACTGTCACAAAGGAAGACATTTTATGAACAAAAAAAAAAAAATACAGGTCTGTTAGTATAATTACTTTTAAAAATTATTTAACATAAATTAGCAAAATAAGATTAGCCATTTTAAAGTGAACAATTCAATGGCATTTGGTACACTCACAGTATTGTGCAACCACCGCCTCTATCCAGTTCCCAAACATTTTAATCACTCCAAAAAGAGCTGGCACCACTCATGCAGTTGCTTTCCATATCCCCTCCCCAGCTCCTTGTAGCCACCAATATGTTTACTGCTGCCAGATATTGCATATAAATGGATCGTATAATATGTGACCTTATTTTTTGTCTGGCTTCTTTATTTGAAAACATGATGTTTTCAAGGCTCATTCATGTTGTTGTATATATCAGTACTTCATTTCTTTTTATGCTTGAATCATATGCTATTGTGTGTACATACCACAATCTGTTTATCCATTTATTCATTGATAAATATGTGGGCTTTTGCCAAGTTTTGTCTGTTGTGAATAGTGCTACATGAACATGCATGCAAGTATACTTGTCAATGTTGTACAAAATAGAATTCAAAAAGGCAGAAAAGCATAATAGTTCTTCAAAATAATAACTAAATGCTGTGAAAGTAAAAACATTTCCAGATTCTGTCATAATGAATGATGCTACCACCACCACCCTTGACAATGGATGTTCTTCATGGAAATGACTTAGGTCCAATATTATTTTCTTCTGTCCTATGACAAACATTCTTCAGATAAATATAAACAATTTACATTTCTAATAAAATTACTACCCATTCTTTAAGTGTGTGCTGTCCATCATGATTTCCTTCCAAAGAAATGAAAGGGAAACAAGAAAGAGGAAATTTATAGTTGAGAAAACTGACTAGATACAGCCTCAGCCAGGTGATGAAGTTAACAACAGTGATAAGTCATATTAATCATATACTTTTGATAAATATGTCAAAATAGCAGTTGACTTGTGGTTTTCCTACATACATCACATAACCGCAGTTGAATCTTGAGGAAAACACCAGATAAACACCCATTAAGGGACATTCTGCAAAATATCCAGTGCTCAAAATTGTCAATGTCATCAAAAACAAAAGTCTGAGAACTTGTCACAGCCAAAATGAGCCTAAGGAACCATTATGACTAAATGCAAACTGGTATCCTGATTGGGATCCTGAAACAGAAAACTGACATTAAGTAAAAACTAAGGAAATCTAAAGAAACTTTGGATTTTAGTTAGTAACAATGTATTCCTACAGCAAAATTGCACTAGACAAAGTTAAATGATAAGGAAGACTGTATTCACAGCTATTGCAATAGAGAAGAGAGACCAGAATACAGACTAGATCTGAACTGATCTCTAATAGAAAAAATGGCTGGAGAGCTGTTAAACACTCCAGTGGACTTGGGTGTGGGGGAATCACAGACCAGATGTGTTTACTAATTGGCATTCCCAAAGGAAAATAAATTTCCTTGAATTTTCATGACAGAAAGTAGTTTTAGAAATTGGAGCAAGCCTCCAAAGGAAGTCAGGCTCCTAACCTCCCACAGAAACTGGGAAATACGGGCTTCTTCCTTGACTATTACATTTCAAAGAGATGGCCCCCCAGGGCATGAAAAAGATGGGCCTGGTTTGTAGAACTGACAAGCAGCTTATAAAAGATTAACACCTCAGAGGCGCAGAGAAGGAATTTACAATTACAAGGTTTCTAAAGTAAATGCTCTAATGAGATGAGAGTGACCTTTATGGTTAGGCTGTCTAGTAATGTGAACTGTTAGGTAAAGGCCTAACATACAAAAGCTTAACTACTGTAACATACTTTCAAGAAAGTTGCTTTGAAGACAATTGGATCTCAGTTTACATCCTGACTCAACCACTTAAAACTGTTGGTTTAAGCAAGTTAATTTACCAATCTTTTTTTTTTCAATGAAAACTAAGTCTACATTGTGCCTAATTTCTTTTTTGTTGTTGTTTTTTGAGACTGAGTCTCACTCTGTCGCCCAGGCTGGAGTGCAGTGGCGTGATCTTGGCTCACTGCAACTTCTGCTTCCCAAGTTCAAGCGATCCTCCTGCCTCAGCCTCTCAAGTAGCTGGGACTACAGGCTCCTGCCACCACACCCAGATTTTTGTATTTTTAGTGGAGACGGGGTTTCACCATGTTTGCCAGGCTGGTATCAAACCCCTGACCTCAAGTGATCCACCCACCTTGGCCTCCCAAAGTTCTGGGATTACAGGTATGGGCCACTGCTCCTGGCTATTGTGCCTAATTTCTATAAACTACCTGTTGTTTGTTTTTCTCCCTAACAGGACCGTGCCCAAAATCTGAATGAGAGGCGAACCACCACCACCACTCTCACAGTGGATGTTCTGGATGGAGATGACTTGGGTCCAATGTTTCTTCCTTGTGTCCTTGTGCCAAACACTCGTGATTGCCGTCCACTCACTTATCAAGCTGCCATACCTGAGTTGAGAACTCCGGTAAATATACTCTTATCTTTCTCCATTTATTTGCATGTTTTAAAACCCAATGGGATCATGTTCAAGTATTTTGTAGACATATAATTTATAATAGCAAAACTCAGTATATGCACATTGAAAAATATTTATGTCCGAAACTATTTTCAGGGAGTATGAATACATTTTTAACACAAAGAGTAATTATATAATTTCCAAATAGAAAGTATGTTATGAAACAACAGTCCAACATGGTTATTTTATTTTATTTTTTTACCAATAAATCACCAAGGAATTCACTAGCCATTCTGAAAAACTCCAAATAATCAGTGCAGCATTTTCTTAAATTCATATTTAAACATGCAGTCGTAAGTCAGAGGACACACAGGTCAATAGGATACATTTTTGGCCCAGTAGAATTCTGAAATGTTATTGGAGATTATGTTTGGCCGTTTGAAGGTAGGAGCTAACAAATACTGAATACAAATACTTACCTCTTAAAGTAAAGATATAGAAAGGTGAAGCATGAATACATATTTTCTACACTTAATCCTGTATTTTTGATAAATGCTAATGGAGCTATAAATTTCTGTCAGTTTGGATTTCACAGCTTGGACCTCCCCAGATGATTGATGTACATACCTAAGAATAAGAATTTTAAGGCAAATGGATATCCTGCTGAGGCAAAAATATCAATTTCTCCCCTAAAAGGTGTATTTGTGTGTGTGTGTGTGTGTGTGTGTGTGTGTGTGTGTGTGTGTGTGTATACACATATTCTGTTTTTAAAAATTCCGTGGTCTAGGATTTAACCATTTAACCAGTATTTTTGCTATTTCCCTGGAAAGCAATCAGCTCTCTGGGTTCCCAAAATGGCTCAAAGTGTTAGAATTTGTTGGAAGCTACTTGACTTTTTTTCCTCAAAATACATGAGAACTGAAGTTCTGAGGGTCCTCTATTTGAGATTTTGAGGAATAGAACAGGAATGCCTCCTAAATGTAAAGCCAGAGTGCTTATCCAATGTTATAATATTAATACATCTATTGGTTTTTCTCACAGCAGATCTAAAATAGCTGAGAATCACTTTTGAGTCTACTCACAGCAATGATCACTGGTCCAGTTAACTTGCATGAATAAAAAAAACAGCTGGAGAGAAAAATAAATAGTTATGTGCATTGGATAAAAATATGTTTTCAGCCAAATGAAGTATTTTTGCAGGCAAAAAAGCTAATCAGAACTTGACTGGACAAAATAGATGTAGAATACCTAAAGTTATATGCCATTATGTTATTTTGTTGAATCCCAGCCAAAAAAAAAAACAAAACCCAAAAAACAAAAACAAAAACAAACAAACAAACAAAAAAAACACACAAACTATTAAAGATGGTGAACATAAAAATTTTACTTGAAAGGACTGGTAAAAGTAATGATGACAAACATAATTTTTATAAGGCTGCACACCTACTGCCATCTGCCCTTCGACAAAGCTGACAAAAGTAGTGGCAAAAAGACTTCCTATTCAGTAAATGGTGCTGGGAGAACTGGCTAGCCATATGAAGATTGAAGCTGGACCCCCCCCTCCTTATACCATAACCAAAAATCAACTCAAGATGGATTAAAGACTTAAATGTAAAACTCCAAACTAGAAAAACCCTGGAGGACCACCTAGGCAATACTATTCAGGACAAAGGCACAGGCAAAGATTTTGTAACAAAGAACCAACAGCAATTGCAACAAAAGCAAACATTGACAAATGGGATCTAATTAAACTTAAGAGCTTCTGCACAGCTTAATAAACTATCAACAGAGTGAACAGACCACCTACAGAACGGGAGAAAATATTTGCAAACTATGCATCTGACAGAGGTCTAATATCCAGCATCTATGAGGAATTTAAAATTACAAGAATTAAATAAAAACATCAAAAAGTGTTTTCTTTTGGACATGAACACTTTTCAAAAGAATACATACATGTGGCCAATAAAAAAATGAAAAACAGTTAAATGTCACTAATCGTTAGAGAAATGCAAATCAAAACCACAATGAGAAACCATTGCACAGTCAGTCAAAATGACTATTATTAAAAAGTCAAAAAATAACAGATGCTGGCAAGGTTGCAGAGAAAAGGGAACACTTATACACTGTTGGTGGGAGTATAAATTAGTTCAACCATGTGGAAAGCCATGTGGCAATTTCTCAAAGAGCTAAAAGAAGAACTCCCATTTGATCCAGCAGTCCTATTACTGGGAATATACCCAGAGGAATATAAATCATTCTGCCATAAAGACACATGCACATGAATGTTCATGGCAGCACTATTCACAATAGCAAAGACATGGAGTCAATCTAAATGCCCATGAATGACAGATTGGATAAAGAAAATGATGTACATATACCACATGGAATACTATACAGCTATAAAAAATAATGAGGTCTTGTCTTTTGCGGGAACATAGATGGAGTGGGAGGCTAATTTCCTTAGCAAACTAACACAGGAACAGAAAACCAAATACCGCATATTCTCACATATAAGTGGGAGGTAAATGATGAGAACTCATGAACAGAAGGAAGAGAACAACAGACCCTGAAGTCTATTTGAGGTTGGAAGGTAGGAGGAGACAGAGGAGCAGAAAAGATGACTATTGGGTACTGGGCTTACTAACTGGGTGACGCAATAATCTATACAACAACCTCCCATGACACGACTTCACCTATGTAACAAACCTGCATATGGACCCCTGAACCTAAAATATAACTCTTTTTTTAAAAAAGTTTCATTTTTATTTATCTTTTAAAATATCTACAAGAGGGTGGGTTTGCTCCATGACTAATCATTGTTTGTGCATGAAATTTAAGCATGTAAGGTTCAAGTATATTACGCTGGCATTAAAATCTTTTAAAATTTCTACAAGAGGGTGGGTTTGCTCTATGACTAATCATTTTTTGCACATGAAATTTAAACATGTAAGGATCAAGTATATTGGGCTGGTATTAAAATGTGCATTTTTGTTTCATTCGAAAATTTCTATTCGGAAAGACAACAGTGAAAAAACAAATATGCTGAAACAAATATTTAATACTTGATAATAATCTTTTTCAATCATCCCCATACAAATTTGGCACTCTGTATTGCGTGTGTGTGTGTGTGTGTGTGTGTGTGTGTGTGTACTTCCAATTAAAATCCTTTTAAATATAAAAAAGGAAAAAGAAAAATATATTTTTAGTATTAATTTATGTTTCCGAGTTAATAGATTCAGCTAGTGTACCAGTGGGACCCCAAGAGAAGGTATACATTGAAACCGCAATAATCCAATTCAATGAGTCAGTCTGATGACTGTTTACTAGTAGTTAGTTCATTGAGGAAAGTAAAGGAAGATAGAGACTGCTGCTTGAAAAGCAGAGTGTACAAACTTAATTTTACAAAGAATCATTGACCTTCCTTTCCTCTCCAGATTACAGACTGAGCATCTCTCTCATTCCTATGCAGTTTAATGCTAGAGACCAGATTATACTTTCAATTTGGGGTAATAACGTAAGTGATCATAATGTCTAGAGGTTGTATAGAATGTTCTGTTCGTAATGAACTATGCTAAGCTCTGCACAAATATTAACTGGTTGCATGTGTTGAATATACACAAAAACGTTTCTGGTAGACAGTTTAAGTATATAGATACAATTTAGGAAGAGTAAATAAAATTAAGATACATTTGAGTCCTAGCTCTACATGCAAAAATTGATAGCAGGTTTTTTCTGGCTCTGGCAGCCTGGGTTAAGTTGGAGATTCACTCTGTAGGTGGACATAGTTGTTGAAAAATATTTATATCCAAAAGTATTTTCAGAGAGTATGGGCAAATTTTTGGTCAGAATGCCTCACTATCTCCCTTGTTGTACTATAATATTCATATTTTGAGTATCAGTACTCAAAGTAGAACTAGTCCAAGGATAAAACTTATTCAGTCTTCAGATGACAAACCCAGTCCAATATTAAATATTGCATATCCTAACATAAGGAGAATAATGAACTAATGGTGAAGAAATAAGTCAGGAAATTTTTTATGCTCTGAATCCTTTGTAAAGTAGTGTTTGGGCAAAGAGCATGAAAGATCCTAAGGATAGTGGATTCTTGCCAGTAAAAAAAGGAGGTCTTTAACTGAAGATCAATAAATATTTTTTTGAACAATTACTCTTTTATTTTCTTTTAAAACCTTGCTTTTTGAATTAAATATTATGGAAGAAATTCTGGAATGATCAATCTTGATCCTTTTATCATTTTTAACAGATTGAGCCATTCCTTAACATACTTTGAAAAAATGAGAATTTAAGATTTATACATTTAAGTAATTATGGCAAATATTTATTTTTTTATTTCATGTACAAAAATATAGATATATTTACTTGTAAGCCTAGGCACTTGGTCAGATTATCAGTCACCGTATAACAGGCCACCAAAACTTAGTGGGCTCAAACTACAATCATTTAATTTGCTCACTAAGCTGCAATTTTAGCAAGACTTGAGAAAACATCTTATCTTTGCTCCATGCAGCATCAGCTGTGGCACTTTAACTGAGGGCTGGGTGCCACTTTCATAATGATTAACTTAGATGGCTACCAAGTTGATTTTGGCTGTTGGCTGGTGCTCATCCAGGATTGAAGACTGAGGCTTCATTTTCACCCCACTGAAGCCTCTTATAGGCTGTTGGGGCTTCCTCACAGCAAGACAGTGGGTTGTCACAACAAGCTTCCCAAGAGAATTAGGCAGAAATTTTCATAAATTAGCTATGGAATTTGAAGGGTCAGTTCTGTTGTAGTCAAATCTCTGCCAGTTTCAAGGGGTAGAAACATACTCCACCTCCCTATATGAGGGGTGTCCAAGTCACATTATAAGAAGAGCATATGGAAAAGAAAATGTTATTGTGGCAATCTTTAGAAAATAAAATCATCCTTAGTACTGGCATCAGGTTTTTATGTACATTGTTATGTATATTGTTATTTTGAATCCATTCTAGAACACTAGGTATAAAAACTGGAGTTAGTTTTTGAGCTTCACATTCAAATTACTGTGTTTATGTCTGTACTTTTATTCTTTTTGATTGTCTCTTTTTCTATTTTCCTTTATATATTCTGCTAAAATTTCATGAAATTTCAATAAGATCTTGCTCTCCAGAGTGAAAGCTAACCATTAATGTCAGCTAAACAGAACATGTTGACTCTAATTACATACTTGCTGATCCTTTCTTGAAAGAATTCTTCAAATTTTGGAAGACTTGCCACCTGTTCACCTATGTTGATGTGAAATTTTCCTTACTTTGGTGGTATTCTTGACTTGAGAAACCATTCCTAACCCCATTATAATACATGCAGAATTTGTCAGTTCAGAAAAACTTTTAAAAATATAGTCTATTAATAAATTTATCTCATGAACTATGATATAATAAAAATAAAAATCGCTTTATATCAAAATTTAAAGTCACTTGTTTAGAAATACACTGATTTTATAAATGTAGATTACACGGTTTTCTAATATAAACAACTCTCTTTGGCAAATTAATGTTTTCACAAACACTAAGATTAATATTATATTGAACACATAAATATATACATCTGGTGTTACAAAGGTAGAAAGCAATTCATAGTACTCTGCTAATTTAGTATTAATTTGATAAATTTCTATAGGACCTTAATGTATGCCAAACTACGTTGAGGATGCTAGGCAAGTAGGATGAAATAAATTATTGCCCAGATATATTATTATGTATGTTTATTCTTAATTTCCAACTCTTTTAAAGTTATTATGTCTGTAAAGTTAAGGTTTTCTGGTATTATGAAAAAAGTCTGTAGAATTTGGAGTATAAAATCCTTGGCTTTATTTTCTAATGAAGCACAGATAAAACCATGATAAATCCTTATGCATTTTTTTCAATTGAACAGTAGCATACATTTATGTGTTTGCTTGATTGGTTGGCTGTTTTTTCTTTTGCAGTGTTATTTATCCCTGGACAGAAAAATGAATGATATATTAACGTATTTTCTATGCGTTTACTGTGTATACCTTCCTTTAATTATTGCACCATGTGGTTTTCAGTATTTCAACATCAGTTGCTCACTGAACATGGTCATCTTTTTCTCTCCCCCTGTTTAAAACCATTGGATTGGATCCCAATAATTTCTAGTGACAAACATCTCAACTTCAATCTTTGTCTTAAAAAATCTAGCTTTCATGTCAAAAACAGCTTCTCTGGTTTATCTATGAAACCCTCTCCCTCCGGGGAAGCTTTCTCAGTTATCAGAAAAGTAATGATGATTTTCAGTGATCTACAACACTTATCATTTCTTCTTGGCATAGCCTCACATTAAATATATTACAGTCTGGGAAATCTCTCCTCTCTTGCTTTTTTATGGAAGTACCGTTTTTTCTCATTCCCTTGGTGGCCTTGGATTTTGCCTCTTAAATCTTTGATCACTTTTATTTATTTTGAAATTTATTTTAAAATTATGATTAAATTTTAAAGAGTTCCAAGGCTTCTCTCTTTTGTAATTCTTTTTTTCTCCCTTATTGTTTTACTAAGATTGAGTTGAGCAAACCTATATAGAGTTCTATTTTTCCTCAAATAGGGATTATGTATTTGTTGTAGATAAGTCTTCTAACTTGAAATCTGTCTTGAGTTCCAAGTTTGAATTTCTCGTCTTTTTCTGGATATTTTTAACTGTGTTTCTGGCAGATGCCTCATTATTCTTTCTATCCAATTCTAATGTATCCATACTTACTATGTATTGTTACTCCTGTGGTCATTATTGATTTGAACCTAGACTTCAATGACCTCCGTTCCAAACTCAATCAATCTCCAAAGCCATTTTCTGCATTACCTATATACTCTTACTCAAATCTGTTTGACACCTGTCTATTTACACTGTCAGAACATCTATTTAAAGACATACTCTAAACTCGGCATCCGGCCTCCAGTCTCTCACTCCTCTAACCACCATCACAATAAAGCCAAAGTTGTTTTTGTTTTTGTTTTTCAATACAATGCTGATCTGATTTTTTGGTGTTTAAAAAGGTTCAGTGTTTTCCATCATACACCAAATGAATTCCACGGCTTTTATCTTATCATTCAAAGTAACTTATATCTGACCACTTTCCAGTCTCATCTCTTCTAACACACATAGTACAACTTGTCTAGGCACACAGAACATCACATATGACCCTGAACAACTCTGAGAATTACCCTACTTTCTCTCTGTTTCATATGTTAAGCACATATTTGTTATTGAAGGTTCATATCAGTTAACCTAAAATGATAGATCCTCAAAACTAATAGTTTCTCTTTGTGATCCCATTTATTCCTACTATAAATATTAAACTCTTCATTACAGTGTGTTCATTTACTATGAATGTTTTTCTTTCACTACGCTATGAATTCTTTAAACTTCTTTGTCATTATATCCTAACTTGAAACCCATTGGCTTCACATAGCAGATATACAGTATTTTTTTTTTCTTTTTTTGAGATGGAGTCTTACTTTGTCACCAAGGCAGTGCAGTGACACAATCTTGGCTCACTGCAACCTATGCCTCCTGTGTTCAAGTGATTCTCCTCTCTCAGCCTCCCAAGTAGCTGAGACTACCAGCATGTGCCACCACACCCGGCTAATTTTTGTATTTTTTCAGTTGAGACAGGGTTTCACCATGTTGGTCAGGCTGATCTCGAACTCCTGACCTCAGATGATCTACCTGCCTTGGCCTCCCAAAGTTCTGGGATTATAGGCATGAGCCACCGTGCCCAGCCTGATATTTTTTGCATATTTTGAATTGAATTAACTCATCAAATTTTCAAAATATGTTTATTATGTAATAAGTCATTGAATATAAATATGAATAATCATGGCTCTTGTCCTCTCAGTCTCAATTAAAGTATATTGGTTGTAAAGGTACATATGTGAAGTGTGTGTGTGTGTGTGTGTGTGTGTGTGTGTGTGTATGTACGTATATATATGTTTGTGTGTATAAATACTTATTGTAATTGTAGATTATCCAAATATATTATTTATTTTATACAGTCTAGATCAAGTAATCATATATCCCATTTGCCATAGAAAGTCCCAGGTTATAATTCTTGTCCCAGCATATTGTTAATAATGTCTCCTTTTGTTTTTAATAGTGTTCTAAATATTAAAGTATATCCTCACTGAGTCCCTTGGCCAATCACTTTCAAAATTTTTTCTGTGGATATGTTTTGGGGCCAGCAAAGTGATCAATGAAGAGGGAAACAGGTGGTAGCTCCCAAACTGCCCACAGCCTTTTAATGCGAAGATCGTTTGTCAAAATATTTTGAAGAAACAAATGATAAATAACACATCTAGAGTCAACATATGATGTGACTGCCATTTTGTTCTTCCCATCAACAATCGCACACAAACACAAACTAAAATTCAGCAAGTATTGTCCTGAATGTGAAATTGTATTGTGATTCTAAAAGTGGTGTGTGACATGGGGGCCTGTCTGGGGGTCGGGGAATAGGGGAGGGATAGCATTAGGAGAAATACCTAATGTAGATTATGGGTTGATGGGTGCAGCAAACCACCATGGCATGTGTATACCTATGTTACAAACCTGCACGTTCTGCACATGTAACCCAGAAATTAAAGTAAATTTTTTAAAAAGTCATGTGTGAAGTAATATGAAAGCAAAGGAATCCTTGGTTCTCCTTATCATTGGTCAAAATGTATTTGAACAGGTTCAACTATATTCAACTGTAATATACCATAGCACCAATTATAGATAATGTGAAGACATTGAAATTTTTAGTGGAATAAATAAATAATAAGAAACAGGTATAAAATAACTATTAAGGAGGCAAAAAAAAGAAACAGTCGAAAGGAGGAATTGAGTTCGTTAGTTTAGTTGTATGAACAAAGTCACTATTCTGCTGAATAACAAGTATGAAGTCTAACTCTTCTTGTTAAGGAGTTTGTTCAAAGTATTACTTTAAATTAACCTTTGAGCTATTTTTTTCTATGAAACACACACAAAAGTAAAAGATGTCAAGTCCTTAAGCTTGTCCCTGATGTTTATAAGTTTTCCTACACATTTATTCTGAAACTCTGATGGCTTACTCAATTATGAGGGAAAATTTGCAAAGATGTTTACCATCACAGCGTAAGATAGTTTGTAAGCACTCAGAGTCTGAATTTAAATCTTGTGTGATGTTGGGTATGTTGCTTACTGTCTCTAAAACTCAGTTTGAACTTGTCATCCACAAAATGAAGGTAATAGCTCAGATATGTGGTTTTCATGACTACTATAAAAGAAGATTTATGAAGCATGCTTAACTAGTTACCAGCAAATAGTAAGAGTTTAACAATATTTGCTATTGTTACTATTATTATTGGCAATGGAAATTTTTCGTCTGCTTGGTGTTTACTCAGAGACACATGGGAAGAAGTAGCTAATTCAAATTAGTTATTAATTTGAATTTCTAGCTTTAAAACTGAGTTGTATGTAGATAGGACCTAATTTATTCTGATTGCACTACTTCTAATTAATTCAGTATTATTTTGGATTTTTAAAGGAATGCAATCTATTTATTCAAAAGAACAGTCGAGGTATCTTTTTAAATAAACAGAGTTGGCATTGTCACTACTTGTGCTGAATTAATTATGCAGTATATTATGACTTTGGGGAGGGGGAGCAGCAGATGCCAAATGCCACAAGGTGATACTGTGAGCCAAAATATATCAGTGAATCAAATTTTAAATGTCAGACGGGGAGGTATCTTGCTCCCTTTGTTTCTTTTCTAAATAAATATAAAAACAATAGATTATGGTAATGTTTTCCAAATTGTCCCACAGAGCCTCCTGTTGGGCTGTGGTGGTTCAGAGTTTCCCCTCTAGGTAAACATAGGACTTCTTCGCCCTATAAATTTGGCAATTGTGCTGTTTTTCCACACACTAATGTAGAAAGTTTTTCAGGATTTACTTTAATTATAAAATAATTGGCTGCTAATTATAAATTATACTGAAACATTTAAAAAGATTAGACACATATTAAAAATCAGAAATCCTCAATCCTCAAAGCCCAGTCCCCAGGATAACCATTATTAATTTGATGAATGTCTTTCCAAGTACCTGGAGCCTGACTGAAGCAATTTTATATATATATATATATATATATATATATATATATATATATATATACACACACACACATATATATATATGTATATATATATATATATATATATATATATATATATATATACACACACACACATATATATATATATGTATATATATATATATTTAATTTCAAACAAGCCAAATGACTCTGGCCTACATAAAAGTAAACTATTAGAAGATTCACTGTGGCCTCACAGAATATACTGGTAACTTTTTAAAGGAATTAGGAGCTGAAGGTTGAGAACAAAAGCCATACCTATGTGTTTTAGGGGTTGGAGATGGATCATGTGATTTGGCATGACTGTATAGACAGGATGTAATTCTTTGTCTTTTTAACCCAGTGCAAATTTGAGGGAGAGAGCAACTGATTGACCTAGCTTGAATCACATGCTTGCCCTTTGACCAGAGGGAATGGAGCCTGGGATAGTTAATTTTATGCATTAACTTGGCTAAGACATGGTACCCAGATATCTGTCAAATATATCTAGATATTGATGTGAAGGTATGCTTTCAGATGATATTAACATTAAATCACTGGACTTTGGATCTATGATATCGGTTGGCTGCATCCAGTCAGTTGAAGGCTTTAAGTAAAAAGACTGACCTCCCTCAAAAAACTGAGGATTCTGGCAAACTATTTTTGGACACAAACTATGACAATTCCTCCCTATGTCTCCAGCCTGCTGGCCTGTCCTACAGATTTTGAACTTGCCCAACTCCACAATCACATGAGCCAGTTCCTTAAATTATCTTTCTCTCGCTCTCTCTCTCTGAGAAACATACACATATACATACATACGCACACATTTTATTGGTTCTGTTTCTCTGGAAGATACCAATCAATACAGGGCCCCTGATGAAAGTGTGTCTAATAGAAAAGGTCATTAATTTAAAAACAGATAAATTGTTAAAGGGAAATGGATGCAAGGCAGCTGAAAAGCCAAATGTTTAAAGCAAATATATAATCAAACCATCAAATTTTTTTTTTCCTGGAGTCTTACTATGGGTGTCTACCAGGTTTGCCCGAAATCTGGTCAGAATGGCATTGAAAAATAGACATTAGATCACATCTCTTCCATGCTTCAGTGCTATGATAGCTTCTTATTAAGTAATCATATCTAAGTGTCTTCCTCTACCATGACCTGTAAGGTCCTACACTATCTTGTCTCATTTGCCTCATCCCATCTGCTTCTACTACCTCTCTTCCTCCTGCTTCCTGGTCTTTTTTCTGTCCTTTATCATCCCATATTCTTTGGCTGAGGTGAAATGTCTTTGTGTGCCATTTTTTTTTTCCAGAATATTCTCTTCTGCTATTTTCCTATGGCTGGCTCCTTTAGTTATTTAGATTTTCCCTCATATATGCCTCCTTAAAAAAGGCTTCCCTAATAACACAGTCTGTAATAGGTTCCCTCAAGAATTAGATAATTCATGACTTTGTTTTCTGCAGATTAGTTTACTATGTGGAAATTTCTTGCATATTCACTTAATTGATTAATATTTGTCTACTTCCTTCAAAATATAAAAACATCTGAAAACAGAGACTTTCCCTATATCATTTGCTATCTTATCACAAACTGTTAGGATGATGGCTCAAATATAAAATGCTCAATTAATATTTACTTATATGGAATAAATTAAAACTTCCCTATCAATGCATATATATTTTACTTTTTATAATAGCTGCATAGAATGACTTTGTATAAAGGTACCTTAATTTATTTGTCTGTTTTATATTTTGGAATTCTGTGTACAGTATTACTTTTTTAAAAAGTGCTTCACTGTTCAAAAAAAATACCTAGATAAAATATATTCCTCTCTAAGGAGATATATTTCTCTCTGATGTATTCGTTAGCAAAACTAAATTTATGTTACATATTCCTTATTTCAGTTCTTCTTGATTAAAACAAATAATGAAGGACATGCTAATGCATTTTAATAGTTTTAACTGTTGGGGCTTATGTGTGGCTAAAAGATGGTTTAGAATTCAATGAGGTCATCAGAAAAGAAATTATGTACATAACACTTTAAAAAGTTATAAAAATAGCTGTAAGATTGTTCACAAGCAGTTTTGCAGCTTCACTTTTAAGAAGCCATAGTATAAGTGTTGGGCTTTATGATTAAGATTTTTTCTGAAAGAATATTACTACTCAACTATAATAGCTCTAAACCGACTTGATTTGTAGGCAGCCCTAATAGTGATTTCCTTGAATTTCACTTTGTTTACTAACATATTCTGCAAATACATACAAAAAAAAAGGGAAATAAACAGACTATGGACACAGCAATGAATTTATCTACTTCCCAAGTGATGTTAGTTCATGATGCTTTCAAGATCCTTAGAAGAAATCTTATACATAAGCCACTGTCATCTCCTGTCCCTGTTTCTACTTTTGCTCCCTATCGCTTATTTTTCACACAGCCAATCAGGGTAATCTTTTAAAAGCATAAATCAGTTCAAGTTACTCTCTTGCTTAAAATATTCCAGTGACTTCCAACTGTGGTAAGAATAAAATTCTCAATGCCCGTGTATGGCTTACCAAAGTACACATGATTCAATTCCTGCCTATCTGCTGCTCTGCTGCCAGGACGTTTTTTCCTATCCCTTGGACATTCTAAGTTTGTTCTCATGCCCAAGCTTTTGCTGTTCATTTTGTGTAAAACTCTTTTCTCAGAACTTGCAATCATTGGTATACTCTCATCAATCAATATCAGGTTTCAGGAAACAATATAACTTCCCAAATTTCCTGACAACTCTTCCTAATGTAGATTTGCTTTAAACAACAACAAAGTCATAGAGATTAATAAAAAAGTTTTATTTGTTTTTGTTGGTATATAGAGGCGAATACAATTTATAGTAGCTCTGTTTTCAGTGCGATTTCCTTGCAACTTGCAGCTGGCTTATGCCAGTGTTAATTTAACGGGAAACAATGATATGGGTGAGTAAATAAGATACAAAACAGCTGGCTCTTTTAAATAAAATTGAAAAAACCTTGCCATGTCAAGATAATCAAAGAATAAATATGATTGGTATGATAAATATTTATACTGATAAGTCAAAGAGTTGTAATAAACATCCAAAAACCTCTAAATTCCTAATCGCTAAAACATGGGCAGACAATGTATCTGAAGACATGAAATGAAACAGCACTTGTTTCTTAAAAAATTGCTTTTAAGGTGACATTTTCACACAGGAGAACAAAAAGGAGAAATGTAGAATGGTTTAAGTGTATCTCTGTCAAGAAGCATCTCTTTAATATGATTTGAGTATTATGTAAAAGGGTTTGCATTTATCAGCCTTGCATGCATGCATTGGGTTCAAAAGTTATTTAAAACACTGCTTTTACTCAGAATGCTTATTTGTCAGTCTGGTTGCTTTGGTATGAAGTGTCAGAAATAAAGTACTTCTTGGACTGTATACTTAGGTTATAAATATTTCCTGTGTTGAGAAGCAATTTTATACCACGTAGTGTTTACAGAGTGTATACCTGATTAATAACACACATTTGGTCCTTAAAAATTACATTCTCTTGTATACATTGCAGAGTATCTTACTTGTAATACATGCATGATATGACTTTCAGTTGCATTACTCTAGATTTTGAGTTCTAATTATTGTCCCTATTATATAGCAATACATTTCCACATACTAACATCTGCAGAGAAATGTGTATGTGTGTGCATATATATGCATATATATACACATACATAAATATATTTTTATATATATGTACATATGGGATATGAAATTGTTTCCATTTGAAACAATTGTGATAATTGGGGAACCCTCTTAGGACATATAAACTCATATTTTTTGCAATATTTTTGGTCTGTAGAATTGTATATGCAGTTTTCTTTTAGAAAAAAAAATGCATACAGAGATTAAGAATAAAGTGACAGCAGTAATTTGACCTTATCAGCAATTCTCTGAGTGATAATTGCCCTTGTAATCTATTGCCCCATCTGCTAGGTGGTGGAAGTTCCTCTCAGTCAAGAACTGTACCAATTCTTAAAGCCAGTCCCTTCTGAAGGCTCATACTAGCAGTGGAAATTACACATAGAAGTGACTCATTATTCAATAAAGTTTCCTATTTTTCTTATTATCCAGATGGAATTGAGCTAAGTTTTGTAAAGGAAGTGGGGAGGTGTATAACATTCACTTTTTAAATTTTTAATATGTGTGGGTGTATATATTTATGGGGTACATGAAACACTTTGATATAGGCTTGTAAAGCCTAATAGTCACATCATGATAAGAGGCCTTTGTATTTTTACTTTGTAAAGTAGATGGAATGCATTTTGAAATAAAGTTGTAAAATTTCTCAAATGGAAAGGTCTGAGGTCAAAGGAGGAGCGACCTACTAGAGTACCTATTATGTGTTAGGTAAGTTATATAAACTATCTGATCACAACAGAGTAAACATTTGTTTTAGTCTGATCGACTGCCATAAAAAATACCACAAACTAGGCATTTATAAAACTAAAAATTTATTTCTGACAGTTCTGGAGGTTGGCATTCTAAGATAAAGGCACCAGTAGATTCGATGTCTGAGGAGGTCCTGCTTTTGGCTCACAGTTAGTGGTGTCCTCAAATAGTGGAATGTGCGACGGGTCTCTCTTAGGCCTTTCATTTATTAAGGGAACTATTGTTAACACCCCTCATGACCTAATCACCTCCCAACCTTCTAATACCGCCATCTTGAGGGTTAGGATTTCAGCATATGTATTTTGGGGAAACACAAACATTCAGACACAGCTGGAACTTACAGTCTAGTCTAAAACAACAAAGTGTGTCTCACACAAGTTTTACCTATACTACCTTTTCCCTGTACAACACATAATATCTAAGGATTCAGTAGGAGTTATTGACCTGATTTTACCACCTAAATAACATCACCTAAAACACATTTCTAGGAAGTGAATGGGTGGGAGTTAGGGTACATGTATCTAACCTAGTAAATATCATCTTGAAATAATTTATTTGAAAATCCAGACTGCTATTCATTATTATCTATGCAGTTAAATATATTTCTGTTACTAACACAAACAGTATGTTATGTTGATTTTGATGGGAATTTTAAAAAAATGGTTTTACATTTTATTCCTAAGGGTAATATTATTTAATTTAAACACTAAAAAAACAGCCAGCAACCACAGTGTAGTCACTATAACCACCACTGCAGTATTTCTTTGTTGACTTGTAAGGGATATATAAAGATAAATGAGAAAAGACAGTAAAGAAATTCCCAGAAAAAATATATTAGCTCTTATAGATGTGGTGGGTGCTATGAAGTGTTACATGTGTAACCATTGAGGCAATGAATTCTCCCCTCTCAATTACCTTCATCCCCACATGCTAGGAATGTTGCTGGCTAGTGAAAATTACTTGAGTCTCTCCTGAGGAATTGCCCTTCATTTAAAGACAACCATTTCACACAAATTCATCACCTGGAAGCATAGTATCAAATGGCTGGTCAGTGGGGCTGGAGAGAGTTATATCAAGGCCCAGTCATCTAGCCTCAGTGCATGAGAACTCAGGAAGCCATTCCTTTTAAGATATTCTGTGGGCTTGTTGTCTCTGCCTGGATTGTACTTCTTTTCAACTCCCCTCTCATAATTAATTAAAAGTTAATTCCCTTATAAACATCATACATGCAAATTTACCTGAGAGTTTGTTTTCCAGAAAACAAACTTAGTACAATGGAATATCTTTGTGTTGGTTCCTAAAGAAATATTTTAGAGATTTCATTCATTTTGTACAACAGAATGATAGAAGACTTATATTTTGGATACAATCGATTAGTGTTTTACCTGGATCATAACTTGCATAACTAGCTTGTAAATATGTGTCTTACTCTACCTCAAAGAGTCTGATTTAATGTTTTGGATGAAGCCTAGGAACTTGTGTGTCCAGAATTTGTTCCTTCCAGTGGGTTCTTGGTTTCACTGACTTCAAGAATGAAGCCACAGACCTTCACAGTGAGTGTTACAGCTCTTAAAGATGGTCTGTCTGGAGTTTCTTCCTTTGGATGTTCAGATGTGTCTGCAGTTTCTTCCTTCCGGTGGGTTCGTGGTCTCGCTGACTTCAGGAGTGAAGCCACATACCTTCTCAGTGAGTGTTACAGCTCTTAAAGGTGGTACAGACCCAAAGAGTGAGCAGCAGCAAGATTTATTGTGAGGAGTGAAAAAACAGAGCTTCCACAGTGTGCAAGGGGACCCAAACAGGTTGCCGCTGCCAGCTCAGGTGGCCAGCTTTTATTCCCTTATTTGGCCCCATCCACATCCTGCTGATTGGTCCATTTTACAGAGCGCTGATTAGTGCATTTACAATCCTTTAGCTAGACACAGAGTGCTGATTGGTGCGATTTTACCAAGTGCTGATTGGTGTGTTTACAATCCTTTAGCTAGACACAGAGCGCTGATTGGTGAATTTACAATCCTTTAGCTAGACACAAAAGTTCTCCAAGCCCCCATCCGACCCAGAAGCTCAGCTGGCTTCACCTCTCAATCCCTCCTCTAAACAGGACACCCCAACTTCTGTTAGGAATTGGGCGATGACCACTCTAGCTACTTCCTGCCGGATAGGGGCGAAGAAGGGGCCCTGCAGCTGTAGTGTCCTCCAGAGGGGAACTCTTTCGGCCAGTGAAAGGGCCAGTGGGTCAGTCCAGGGATCCTCGGTAGAAGTTGTTAGTTGAGTTCATTTGGGGTTCCATTTGTAAGACTATCTATAGCTTGATGGCCTTGATCCTAGAGGAAACAAATTTGACAAGGAGGTTAAAAATACAGGGCCCAAAGGTGAGTAATTGCAAAATGGCTGCTACCGGACCTAGAAAGTGGAGAAGCCATGTCACCCAACTCCAGAGGTTGGTATAAGAGTTTGAAAGGCATTGTTTGATTTCAGAAGCCTTTTCCTGTAAATGCCTGGCAGCATCTCTTACTATCCCTGACTGGTTAGGGTAAAAACAACACTCTTCCCCTAAGAAGGTGCAGAGTCCTCCTTTCTCAGTAGTGAGGAGGTCTAGGCCTCAGCAGTTTAGGAGAGTCTCTGCTGCCAAAGAGTCTACTTCGGATTGTAGAGTAAGGATAGATTTCGTTATTTCTTGCAAACTGTCTGAGAATTCCTTTAAGAGTGTGTGGTAGCAGGATAATACATATTACACTGTTAACTTTTAGCAAACTTTAGTTGAAAGCCTTGTAAGTTTGGGATTATAATTTTTCTTTACTATTAATGAAAACCTCGTTCAGTCCATATTAACTTAGAATTGGTATAGATAGCTCCTTCCTGATTCTGTAAGTACTTTAAGATTTGGCTGAGTGCAAACAACTCGCACGTTTGAGCAGACCAATCACTGGGAAATTTTCCTAACTCTGCTTCTACAAGAGTTTCCTTATCACTTGCTGAACACCCATTGTGTCTTTTTCCCTTAACTGCCTGGGAGGAACCATCTATCCTCCTGTCCTGAAGGGAGTTCCTCCTAGATCTGGTCAGACCTTTGTATGGTAATTCATTAAGATTTAGATCCCTGTTTGGAAACCTGCTGGGTTAAGGATTTTTGATAGGAAGGCTATGGGTTGTCAGTAGCCTCAGTGCTTTTGGGCTACACCCTTGTTTACACTGACAACAAGGTGGTATTGGAGTGTTATAGGGTTACAGAGAAGACCCTTAATTATCAATTATACATTTTAAATTTACCCTGGCTTTTAAAGGAATAGGGTACACTGTTTTTTCTTTACTACTTCTATCTCCCTCTTTCTCTCTCTTTGACTTCTTGTCTGTCTCTCTCTTCTTTGTCTGTCTTTCTCTTTCTGACTCCCTCTTTGTCTCTTCCTCTCTTTACTTCTTTGACTCTCTGTCTCTCTGTCTCTTCCTCTCTCTCACTCTTTGACTTCTTCTTTGTCTCTGTCTCTTCCTCTCTCTGTCTCCTCCTCTTTGTCTCTCTGTTTCTTCCTCTTTCTCTGACTTTCTGTCTCTTTCTCTCTTTCCTTTCTGCTGGTCTTTCCCTGCCTCTGTCAGCAGCTTATGCTGCTGTTCTCCCCTCTCCTTCCCCTTTTTGATGGCTTCGGCAGTATAAGACTGCCACTTCCTTGGGTTTTTGCACTGCATGCAATAACTGCATGATTTCCTTGTGGTATTTAATGGGGGTTCCCCCAGAGGTTAGGAACTCCCTTTCTTTCCATATTGCAGCATGGGCATGTAGGATTAGATAAGCATACTTACTATCTGTAGCAAAGTCTTCCAATTACAACAGAGGAGGTGGGAGAAATACCTGGTTACAGGCTCTCCCAGGATTCCTTGGATGGTAACGGACCTTGAGGACAGTCATCTGGGACAGGAGATTAACACTGAGAAGGCTATGCCAGTGTCCAGGAGGAAGTCAATTTCCTGGTCATCAATAGTTAAACGTACCTGGGGTTCAGTGAGGGTGATGACATGAGCTGGCACTTGCCCCAGGCACCCTCAGTCCTGTTGTTGGATCATCTGGTTGGGGGCTTCTGGCCCAGAGAACCTTTGCCCTCTGGGGCAGTGTGCCTTCCAGTGATTGCCTCTGCACAGTGGACATGGATGAGGGGGCAGCTTGTTTCTCATTGGACAACCTTTTTTAAGGTGTCCTTGCAAGCCACACTGGTAACAAGCCCCACTGGGTGATTGGCCTGCTCCATTTTCTGTCCTCTCTGAACCAGCAAGGTAGGTTTGTCTGAGGGCCATGACTAAGGCTGCAGTCTTTCTCTGATCTCGCTTTTCCTTTTGGGCCGGTTCCTCTTGGTCCCTATTATAGAACACCAAGGTTGCCAGGTTTAATAATGCCTCCAGATTTTATTCAGGGCCTAGGGCTCACTTTTGGAGCTTTCTTTTGATATCTGTGGCTGATCGGGTAATAAACTTATCTTTTAGGATCAATAGACCCTCTAGTGAGTCAGTTGACAGTGGAGTGTATTTCCTTAAGGCCTCCCATAGCTGCTCGAGGAAGGCAGGATTTTCTTCCTTTCCATGAGTTATGGTGGACATCATTGAATAATTCATGGGCTTTTTCCTAATTCTCCTTAGTCCTTCTAGAACACAGGTCAACAGATGTTTACAACTCCAGTCCCCAGGATCTGAGTTGAAGTCCCAGTGGGGATCCATACTGGGCACGGCTTGCTGACCAGTAGGGAATTTGTCCCTTTCTTCAGCTGTCATTCTATCATTTACTTGATTAAGCTATCAGGTATCTCCAAACTCTCAGGCTGCAGCTAAAGCCACATTCTTTTCATTAAAGGCCAGGGTTTGATCTAACAATAGCATGACATCTTTCCAATAAGATCAAAGGCTTGCCCTAGACCCTGTAGGACACCTATATACCTATCAGGATCATCTGAAAAGTTCCCCAGGTCTGCCTTGATCTGCTTTAAATCGGAGAGGGAGAAGGGGACATGTACCCACGTTGGGCCAAATTCCCCTCCCCCTACTTAAAGGGGACAGAACCAATAGCCTGGGGGATTTTGTGGTCCTTTGGATATTTCTTTTCTTATTTCCCTCTGGGCAAGGGAGATTAGAGGAGGTTTATCACTAACAGGAAGGGGAGCTATAGGGAGGCTAGGATATGGAGGTAAGCTGAGAGGTCCTCCTGTGGGATGTAAATTGCAAGCTTTGCATAGTTGTGGATTCTCCTTCAATGAAAAGAAAGCTTGGACATAAGGTATTTCACTCCATTTGCCTTCCCTCTTACAGAAAAAGTCAAGCTGCAGGATAGTATTGTAACTTATACTTCCCTCGGGTGGCCATTTTTCCCCAACAGAGAGATAATATTGTGGCCGAGCCATAGTGCAGAAAAAAATGAGCTGCCTTTCTTTCAGGGTTTGCGGGTCAAATTGGTCCCAATGGCTTAGGATGCATTTCAAGGGTGAGCCCATTGATGCCTGAGTGTTTCCCATCTGAAAGACAAAACCACCTGCGGTTTTGTTTTGTTTGTTTCTCCCCCTGCCCAAGAACCCACAGTGGCCCCTGGACCCTGCTGATCAGAATAGTTACACTCACTGACGTGGCAGCAGAAACCCCTCTTGCCCAAGCACCCACAACAGTCCCTGGACCCTGCTGATGGGAATAGTTGCGCTCACCAACACAGCAGCAGAAACACTAGTTTTCCTCCTAGACCACAAGGAGGAATGAGGAAGGTCGGATTATTGGCCCTTACCAATGCATTCTAGAAAACCTGTTAGAGTCCTAAGCATTCTCCTGTTAATATTGGGACTTTATCCATGCCCTATAAAGATGTTATGCCCCAAAAATGAAGTGGAGGGCCATACCCTGAGAGAGGGAAGAGATCTCCAGGGTTGGAAGAGTGATGCCTTTTGTCCTCACTTATATGAATAGCAAGGATACAATTTCTGAGGCTCCCCATATCCTAGCTTCAGGAATAGCCTTTGTTAGGCCTGCTAGCCTGAGGAGGGGTCCTAAAATTCCAGATAAGATAGTCTGGCTCCTCCGATGGGGCTTTGGGCAAAAATTATGTCTTTCTGATTGGTGAGCCTGGGTGCCTAAAGAAGGGAATAGAGTCCTAAAGTTTATGCTAGAAATCATTCTTATACGAGAAACTAGAAAAGCACCAGAGACAGGGAGTGGTTTTTAGAAGCGAGACTAGCCTCAGAGAAGAGAGGCAAGAGGAAGTTTGTCTGACAGGCATGAGGACCCAGGAGGCAAGGGTCAGGATAGATAGGAGAGATGGGCGAGTCTCCCTTAGGCGACATGTCTTTGAGAGTTCCGCTCAGCCTCAGGGTCAACCAACTTGTTGTTGGGACCCTGGAGCTGAATGGCTTTCCACTCTGTCTACCCTCGGCTCAGCCCAGAAGTACAAGAAAAGTGGAAGCTGGTTCCAGGCAAATCAATGCTTCCAACCCCGAAGAGTCAGGGGTTGTAAGAGAGCCCTTTCCTAGAATGCCTGACACCCGTGTTTTTATTCCAGTGGCCGTGCCAACCACTTTTTTTTTTTTTTTTTTTTTTTTTGAGACGGAGTCTCGCTCTGTCGCCCAGGCTGGAGTGCAGTGGCGGGATCTCGGCTCCCTGCAAGCTCCGCCTCCCGGGTTCACGCCATTCTCCTGCCTCAGCCTCCCAAGTAGCTGGGACCACAGGCGCCCGCCACTACGCCCGGCTAATTTTTTGTATTTTTTAGTAGAGACGGGGTTTCACCATTTTAGCCGGGATGGTCTCGATCTCCTGACCTCGTGATCCGCCCGCCTCGGCCTCCCAAAGTGCTGGGATTACAGGCGTGAGCCACCGCGCCCGGCCACCAACCACTTTTAACTGACCGACAGGTGCCCGATAATTAGATCCTGAATTCTAAGGAAAAATAGAACAGAATTGCAAGTGAAAGGGGTCCGATGGTACTCACTACTTGGTGATTATCCCTTCGTGGTTGCCAAATGTGTCTGGAATTTGTTCCTTCCACTGGGTTCTTGGTCTTGCTGACTTCAAGAATGAAGCGCGGAGCTTCACAGTGAATGTTACAGGTCTTAAAGATGGTATGTCCGGAGTTTCTTCATTTGGATGTTCAGATACGTCCAGAGTTTCTTCTTTCCAGTGGGTTTGTAGTCTCACTGACTTCAGGAGTGAAGCCATGAACCTTCTCAGTGAGTGTTACAGCTCTTAAAGGTGGTGTGGACCCTAAGAGTGAGCACCAGCAAGATTTATTGCAAAGAGCCAAAGAACAAAACTTCCACAGCATGGAAGGGGATCCGAGCAGGTTGACGCTGCTGGCTCTGGTGGCCAGCTTTTATTCCCTTATTTGGCCCCGCCCACATCCTGCTGATTGGCCCATTTTACAGAGTGCTGATTGGTCCATTTTACAGAGAATTGATTGGTCCATTTTACAGAGCACTTATTGGTCCATTTTGCAGCATGCTGATTGGTGTGATTTTACAGAGTGCTGATTGGTGCATTTACAATCCTTTAGCTAGACACAAAAGTTCTCCAAATCCCCATCCGGCCCAGAAGCTCAGCTGGCTTCACCTCTCACTTGAAGCTTCAACTCCAGGGTATTCTAATTCAATATGACTGGAATGTGGCCTAAGAATTTGTATTTCAAAAATGTTTATATAGCAATTTTCAAATATATACAAAAAAACAGAAGACCATCATGACCACACTATGAATTTATCACCCAGTTTCAACAATTACCAATTCATAGGCATACTTGCACCAACTATATCTTCTCCCATCCTTTCTTCCCAAATTACTTGAAGCATGTCTCAGATATAGTTTCATTTTATTTGAATATGTTTCAGTGTATATTATGAAATGATGGCATACCACAATGCCTTTATCAAAAATAATATGAGTTAAATTAGGAGTGTTTACTTTTTAATGTGTCAAAATAATTCTAATAATCCAGAAACACTGATGTATAATTGATGAATTAATTAAAAGCTTGGTGTGTAATTTTGACAGATTGACTCATGTGTGTGTCTGTGTGTGTGTGATTACTGTTGCTTTCAGGTGGACACCTTTCAATTATGCTAAGTATGTACTTAATCATGTCCTAAATCCATGAATTATACAGGGTGACTTTTGGTAACTATATCATTGATTTAGTAGATTTTTATCTTTTGGCATCTTGATGAGTTCTGCTTAATAAATTAGTAACATGCGTTATATCTATTTGAGGCAGAAAATGTCTCTAATTTCTGTTTTTATACTTTAAGTTCTAGGGTACATGTGTACAACGTGCAGATTGAATACATAGGTATACACGTGGCATGTTTGTTTGCTGCACCCATTAACTCGTCATTTACATTAGGTAATTCTCCCAATGCTATCCCTTCCCCAGCCCCCCACCCTCTGACAGGCCCCAGTGTGTGATGTTCCCTGCCATGTGTCCAAGTGTTCTCATTGTTCGATTCCCAACTATGAGAACATGTGGTGTTTGGATTTCTGTCCTTGTGATAATTTGCTGAGAATAATGGTTTCCAGCTTCATCCATGTCCCTGCAAAGAACATTAACTCATCCTTTTTTATGGCTGCACAGTATTCCATGGTGTATATGTGCCATATTTTCTTTATCCAGTCTATCATTGTTGGACATTTGGGTTGGTTCCAAGTCTTTGCTACTGTGAATAGTGCTGCAATAAACATACGTGTGCATGTGTCTTTATAGTAGCATGATTTATAATCCTTTGGGTATATATCCAGTAATGGGATTGCTGGGTCAAATGGTATTTCTAGTCCTAGATCCTTAAGAAATCGCCACAATGTCTTCCACACTGGTTGAAATAATTTAAACTCCCACCAACAGTGTAAAAGTGTGCCTATTTCTTCATATCCTCTCCAGCATCTGTTGTTTCCCGACTTTTTAATGATTGTCATTCTAACTGGTGTGAGATGGTATCTCATTGTGGTTTTGATTTGCATTTCTCTGGTGACCAGTGATGATGAGCATTTTTTCATGTGTCTGTTGGCTGCATAAATGTCTTCTTTTGAGAAGAATCTGTTCATAGCCTTTGACCACTTTTTAATGGGTTTTTTTGTTTTTGTCTTGTAAATTTGTTTGAGTTCTTTGTAGATTCTGGATATTAGCCCTTTGTCAGATGGGTAGATTGCAAAAATTGTCTCCCATTCTGTAGGTTGCCTGTTCACTCTGATGGTAGTTTCTTTTGCTGTGCAGAAGCTCTTTAGTTTAATTCAATCCCATTTGTCTATTTTGGCTTTTAGTGCCATTGCTTTTGGTGTCTTAGTCATGAAGTGTTTGCCTATGCCTATGTCCTGAATGGTATTGCCTAGGTTTTCCTCTCAGGTTTTTATGATTTTAGGTCTAACATTTAAGTCTTTAATCCATCTTGAATTAATTTTTGTATAAGGTGTAAGGAAGGGATCCAGTTTCAGCCTTCTACATGTGGCTAGCCAGTTTTCCTAGCACCATTTATTAAATAGGGAATCGTTTCCCCATTGCTTGTTTTTGTCAGGTTTGTCAAAGATCAGATGGTTGCAGATGTGTGGTGTTATTTCTGAGCCCAGTTTCCTGTTCCATTGGTCTATATATCTGTTTTTGTACCAGTACCATGCAGTTTTGGTTACTGTAGCTTTGTGGTATAGTTTGAAGTCAGGTTACATGATGCCTCCAGCTTTGTTCTTTTTTGCTTAGGATTGTCTTGGCAATGCGGGCTCTTTTTTATTTCCACTTGAACTTTAAAGTAGTTTTTTTCCAATTCTGTGAAGAAAGTCATTGGTAGCTTGATGGGGATGGCATTGAATCTATAAATTACCTTGGGCAGTATGGCCGTTTTCACAATATTGATTCTTCCTATCTATGAGCATGGAATTTTCTTCCATATTTTTGTGTCTTTTATATCATTGAGCAGTGGTTTGTAGTTCTCCTTGAAAAGGTCCCTCACATCCCTTGTATGTTGGATTCCTAGGTATTTTATTCTCCTTGTAGCAATTGTGAATGGGAGTTCACTCATGATTTGGCTCTCTGTCTGTTATTGACATATAGGAATGCTTGTGATTTTTGCACATTGATTTTGTATCTGAGACTTTGCTGAATTTGCCTATCAGATTAAGGAATTTTTGGGCTGAGACAATGGGGCTTTCTAAATATGCAATCATGTCATCTGCAAACAGGGACAATTTAACTTCTTCTTTTCCTAATTGAATGTCCTTTATTTCTTTCTCTTGCCTGATTTGCCTGACCAGAACTTCCAACACTATGTTGAAAAGGAGTGGTGAGAGAGGACATCCCTGTCTTGTTCCAGTTTTCAAAAGGAATGCTTCCATTTTTTGCCCATCCAGTATGATATTGGCTGTGGGTTTGTCATAAATACCTCTTATTATTTTGAGATACATCCCATCAATACCTGATTTATTGAGAGTTTTTAGCATGAAGGGCCATTGAATTTTGTTGAAGGTCTTTTCTGCATCTATTGAGATAATCATGTGGTTTTTGTCATTGGTTCTGTTTATGTGATGGATTACATTTATTTATTTGTGTATGTTGAACCAGCCTTGCATCCCAGGAATGAAGCCAGCTTGATTGTGGTGGATAAGCTTTTTCTTGTGCTGCTGGATTTGGTTTGCCAGTATTTTATTGAGGATTTTTGCATCAATGTTCATCAGGGATATTGGTTTAAAATTCTCTGTTTTTGTTGTGTCTCTGCCAGGCTTTGGTATCAGGATGATGCTGGCCTCGTAAAATGAGTTAGGGAGGATTCCCTCTTTTTCTATTAATTGGAATAGTTTCAGAAGGAATGGTTCCAAGTCCTCTTCGTACCTCTGGTATAATTAGGCTGTGAATCCGTCTGGCCCTGGACCTTTTTTGGTTGATAGGCTATTAATTATTGCCTCAATTTCAGATCCTGTTATTGGTCTATTCAGAGATTCAACTTCTTCCTGGTTTAGTCTTGGGAGGGCATATGTGTCCAGGAATTTATACATTTCTTCTAGATTTTCCGGTTTATTTGCATAGAGGTATTTATACTATTCTCTGGTGGTAGTTTGTGTTTCTGTGGGATCTGTGGTGATATCCACTTTGTCATTTTTTATTGTGTCTGTTTGATTCTTCTCTCTTTTCCTCTTTATTAGTCTTCTAAAGGTCTATCAATTTTGTTGGTCCTTTCAAAAAACCAGCTCCTGGATTCACTGATTTTTGGAGGGTTTTTTGTGTCCCTATCTCCTTCAGTTCTGCTCTGATATTACTTATTTCTTGCCTTCTGCTAGCTTTTGAATTTGTTTGCTCTTGCTTCTCTAGTTCTTTCAGCTGTGATATTAGGGTATTGATTTTAGATCTTTCCTGCTTTCTCTTGTGGGCATTTAGTGCTATAAATTTCCCTCTACACATTGCTTTAAATGTGTCCCAGAGATTCTGGAATGTTGTGTCTTTTCTCTCACTGGTTTCAAAGAACATCTTTATTTCTGCTTTCATTTTGTTATTTACCCAGTAGTCATTCAGGAGCAGGTTTTTCAGTTTCCTTGTAGTTGTGCATTTTTGAGTGAGTTTCTTAATCCTGAGTTCTAGTTTGATTGCACTGTGGTCTGAGAGACAATTTGTTGTGATTTCTGTTCTTTCACATTTACTGAGGAGTGCTTTACTTCCAATTATGTGGTCAATTTTATAAGTGCGAGTTCAAATGAATGAGTTCAAGTCCTGGATATCCTTGTTAACCTTCTGTCTTGTTGATCTGTCTAATATTGACAGTGAGGCGTTAAAGTCTCCCATTATTATTGTGTGGGAGTCTAAGTCTCTTTGTAGGTCTCTAAGGACTTGCTTTATGAATCTGGGTGTTCCTGTATTAGGTGCATATATATTTAGGATAGTTAGCTCTTCTTGTTGAATTGATCCCTTTAACCATTATGTAATGGCCTTCTTTGTCTCTTCTGATCTTTGTTGGTTTAAAATCTGTTTTATCAGAGACTAAGATTGCAACCCCTGCTTTTTTTAGCTTTCCATTTGTTTGGTAGATCTTCCTCCATCCCTTTATTTTGAGCCTATATTCGTCTTTGTATGTGAGATGTGTCTCTTGAATACAGCACACTGATTGATCTTGACCCTTTATCCGATTTGCCAGTCTGTATCTTTTAATTAGGACATTTAGCCCATTTACATTTTAGGTTAATATTTTTATGTGTGAATTTGATCCTGTCATTATGATGTTCGCTGGTTATTTTGCCAGTTAACTGATGCAGTTTCTTCATAGCATCCATGGTCTTTACAATTTGGCATGTTTTTGAGGTGGCTGGTATTGGTTGTTTCTTTCCATCTTTACTGCTTCCTTCAGAAGCTCTTGTAAGGCAGGCCTGGTGGTGACAAAATATCTCAGCATTTGCTTGTCCATAAAGGATTTTATTTCCCCTTCACTTAGGAAGCTTAGTTTGACTAGATATGAAATTCTGGGTTGAAAATTCTTTTCTTTAAGAACGTTGAATATTGGCCCCCAATCTGTTCTGGCTTGCAGGGTTTCTGCTGAGAGACCCACTGTTAGTCTGATTGGCTTCCCTTTGTGGGTAACTCGACCTTTCTCTCTGGCTGCCCTTAACACTTTTTCCTTCATTACAACCTTGGTGAATCTGACAATTTTGTGCCTTGGGGATGCTCTTCTCAAGGAGTGTCTGTGGTGTTCTCTGTATTTCCTGAATTTGAATGTTGGCCTGCATTGCTAGTTTGGGGAGGTTCTCCTGGATAATATCCTGAATAGTGTTTTCCAACTTGGTTCCATTCTCCCCATCACTTTCAGGTACACCAATCAAATGTAGATTTGGTCTTTTCACATAGTCCTATATTTCTTGGAGGCTTTGTTTGTTTCTTTTTACTCCTTTTTCTCTAACCTTCTCTTCTCACTTTATTTCATTAATTTGATCTCCAATCACTGATACCCTTTCTTTCACTTGATCGAATTGGCCATTGAAGCTTGTGTATGCATCACAAAGTTCTTGTGCCATGGTTTTCAGCTCCATCAGTTCATTTAAGGTCTCCCTTCACTGTTTATTCTGGTTAGGCATTCGTCTAACCATTTTTCAAGGATTTTAGCTTCCTTGCAATGGGTTCAAACTTGCTCCTTTAGCTTGGAGACGTTTGTTATTACTGACCTTCTGAAGCCTACTTCTGTCAACTCATCAAAGTCATTCTCCATCCAGCTTTGCTCTGTTGCTGGTGAGGAGCTGCATTCCTTTGGAGGAGAAGAGGCACTCTGGTTTTTAGAATTTTCAGCTTTTCTGCTCTGTTTTCTCCCCATCTTCGTGGTTTTATCTACCTTTGGTCTTTGATGTTGGTGACCCACAGATGGGGTTTTGGTATAAATGTCCTTTTTGTTGATGTTGATGCTATTCCTTTCTGCTTTGTTGATGTTGATGCTATTCCTTTGTTAGTTTTATTTCTAACATTCAGGTCCCTCAGCTGCAGGTCTGTTGGAGTTTGCTGGAGTTCCACTCCAGACCCTGTTTGCCTAGGTATCACCAGTGGAGGCTGCAGAACAGCAAATATTGCTGCCTGATCCTTCCTCTGGAAGCTTCATCCCAGAGGGGCACCTGCCTATATGAGGTGTCTGTCAGCCCGTACTGGGAGGTGTCTCCCAGTTAGGCTAAACGGGGGTCAGGGACCCACTTGAGGAGGCAGTCTATTAGTTCTCAGATCCCAAATGCCATGCTGGGAGAACAACTGCTCTCTTCAGAGCGTCAGACAGGGATTTTTAAGTCTGCAGAAGTTGCCTGCTGCTTTTTGTTCAGCTATGCCCTGCCCAAATATGTGGAGTCTATAGAGGCAGTAGGCCTTGCTGAGCTGTGGTGGGCTCTGCCCAGTTCGAGCTCCCTGGCTGCTTTGTTTACCTACTCAAGCCTCAGCAATGGCAGACGCACCTCCCCCAGCCAGGCTGCTGCCCCGCAGTTCAATCTCAGACTGCTGCACTAGCAGTGTGCAAGGCTCTGTGGGTGTGGGACCTGACGAGCCAGGCACAGGAGAGAATCTCTTTGTCTGCCAGTTGCGAAGACCTTGGGAAAAGCACAGTATTTGGGCGGGAGTGTCCCATTTTTCCAGGTACAGTATGTCACATCTTCCCTTGGCTAGGAAAGGGAAATCCCTTGACCCCTTGTGCTTCCTGGGTGAGGTGACACCCCACCCTGCTGTGGCTCGCCCTCCGTGGGCTGCACCCACTATTCAACCAGTGAGATGAACCAGTACCTCAGTTGGAAATGCAGAAATCACCCATCTTCTGCGTCAGTCACACTGGGAGCTGCAGACCGGAGCTGTTCCTATTCAGCCATCTTCATTGGACAATCTAGTCTCTAAATTTTACCAGAAAAAAGGATGTTTCTCTCTCCTCTCTCTCTCTCTTATTTATGTATTTATTTAGAGATGGAGTCTCACTCTGATGCCCAAGCTGGAGTGCAGTGGCACAATCTCGGCTTACCACAACCTCTCCCTCCTGGGTTCAAATGATTCTCCTGCCTCAGCCTCCCAAGTAGCTGAGACTACAGACACTCCACCATGCCTGGCTAATTTTTGTGTTTTTGGTAGAGATGGGGTTTCACTATGTTGGCCAGGTTGGTGTTGAACTCCTGACCTCATGATCCACCTGCCTCAGCCTCCCAAAGTGCTGAGATTACAGGCATGAGCCACCACACCTGGCCTTTCTCTCTCTCTTTCCCATCATCATCATCATCAACTATTCCAAAAGGTTATTGTAAATATTCAGTTTCCCCCATTATGTGAAGTGCCTATAATGATAAGTTCTAGGATAAGTGTTTTAATCCCAAGTGTTTTATCTAGCGTCCAGAGTCCATCTCTAACCAGAATAGATGGTATGTATGCCACCCCAATCATGATTGTAAAGAGAACTTCGATTATCTTAAATAGAATTGAATCCCAACTGTCTATTCATTTGGCATTTAGATTCAGATATAATTAATATCTGTTAATGAAACTAATGACAGAGAAATTAGTATATTAATCTTGTCAGAATTGCATGAATATTAAACAGCAGGAAGTATATATAAACATCTTGTCTTGTCCTCAGTGCTTTAAATAGTCCTGTCATAAAGAGCCTTAGAACGAAAAAAATAGGCAAAAATAAATTTTGTTTTAAAAAGGTAAAAATATACCCCTAGGATATATTGGAAACCTGACATTATCAAAAACCTCTGATGAGAGAGACATCAATATTCTTCTCGGCAGGACTCCTGGCCCACCAAAGTAACAGAGAAATTAGGTACTGGAATTCAGTTTTGCAGAAAAAAAGGCATTTTAAAACACATTTTTAAAGAAATGTGCTACATGAAACAGAAACTATAATATTTCTGTCTTCATGTACTATAAACCAAGCAAATAAACAAAATAGTAAAATTGTTGTGTGTCATAAAAGCCCAAGATTAATGGTCAGAGAGAAGCCTCATTATTGTTTTCAGATACAAAGTGCATACTTTGGTGACAATTTTCTAAACTATTTTTCTGCTTAATACACTGATGGGTATATAGTTCATTAAACTTTAGAAGTTTTGAGAAGTCAGTAAATTTAACCAAAATTATAATGAAATTTTGAAACTCTAAAAATTAAAAAAGGAATAGAAATACTAGAGGTCTTAAGCAAATCAAATCATATATTTAATGTATAACTTATCAATCAGTTTCAGATCTTATGCTACTGGTTTGTTTTTCATCTTCTTACCTATTTTCTAGGATAATAGACCATTTAATAAGTACAGCAAAAGAGAATGAGAAAATATAATGATAGACATTAACATTTAAAATATTGGCCAGTCACAGTGGCTCACGCCTATAATCCCAGCACTTTGGGAGGTGGGTGGATCACCAGAGGTCAGGAGTTCAACACCAGCCTGGCCAACATGGCAAAACCCCGTCTCTACTAAAAAAATACAAAAATTAGCCTGGCAAGGTGGTGGTGCTTGTAATCCAAGCTACTCTGGAGGCTGAGGCAGGAAGAATTGCTTGAACTCAGGAGGCGGAGGTTGCAGTGAGCTGAGATCGTGCTACCGCACTCCAGACTGAGCAATAGAGCAAGACTCCTTTCAAAAAAGAAAAAAAAATCAGGAAGAGTCATGTTTTTCAGAGGATTGAACGTACAAAACAAAAACAAAAACATTACAATTTCTATTGTAAAGTAGTTAGATTACTCAAGCTTTTATTGTGTTCATTACATCATTGCTTGATGAATCTATAGATGCTATTAAAATATATTGTTTTGAAAGGATACAATAAATTCTTTGTTTTAGTATGTAGAATTTGACTTTTGGCAAAATGGAAAAAAAAAATCAGGTGTCTAGGAGCCAAAAGATACTTTCATTAGAGAGTGATTAACTTTTAAAAATTTTGTTTTTGACACATAATAATTATGCATATTTATGGGGTATAGTGTGATGTTTCCTACATCTATACATTATGTAATAATCTTTTCAGGGTATACAGCATATCCATCATCTCACACAGTTATCATTTTGTTTGTGGTAAAAACATTCAAAATTCTTTCTTCTAAGTATTTTGAAACATACAATACAATACTTTTTACCATAATCACTCTAATGTGCAATAAAGCACCAGAACTTATTCATCCTGTGCAAATGTAACTTTGAATTTTTTGACCAGTCTCTCTCCATCTTTCCTTCTCACTCTACTTCTCAGTCTCTAGCAACTGCTGTTTTACTCTCTACTATGAAATCAGCTCTTTTAAATTCCATGTGAGTGAGATCAAGTGGTATTTGTCTTTCTGTGCCTGGCTTATTTCATTTCAGGTTCTTTTATGTTGCCTTGAATAACAGGATTTATTTTTTTATGGCTGAATGGTATTCCATTGTGTATATATACCACATTTTCTTTATTCATTTATCAGTTGATGAACAATTAGGTTGGTTCATATCTTGGCTATTGTGAATAGTGCTGCAATAAACATGGAAGTGGATATCTCTAAGACATACTGATTTCATTTCCTTTGGATGTGTACCCAGTAGTAGAATGACTGGATCATATGGTAGTTCTATTGTTAATTTTTAGAGGAACCTCCATATTGTTTTTCATAAACACTGTACTAATTTACATTCCCACAAACAGTGTAATAGAGTTTCCCTTTTCCTACATCCCCGCCATTATTTGTTATTTTTTGTCTATTTGATAATATTCGAATTGGGATGAGATGATATTGTGGTTTTTATGTGCATTTCCCAGAAGATTAGTAATGTTAAATATATTTTTCATATATCTGTTGGCTATTTTGATGTCTTCTTTTGAGAAATATCTATTCAGATTTTTTTGCCCATTGTTTAATCAGGTTATTTGTTTTCTTGCTATTGAGTTGTTTGAGTTCCTTATATATTTTGGATATTAATATCTTATCTGATACATGGTTTGGAAATATTTTTTCCTGTTCTTAGGTTGTCTCTTTACTCTGCTGATTGTTTTTTTTTTCTGTTAAGATGCCTTTAAATTTTCTTTCACTGTTTGTGCTTTTAAGTTTTTATCCAAAAAAACCTGTGCCTAGACCAATGTCATGAAGTATTATATGGTTGACTTCTCAAATGAATTCCAAACAAGTATAACAAGGCCAGGAAACAGTAGGTTCTCAGTAAGTATTTATTGAATAAAATTGGTGAAAAATATTTATGGTTTAAATTTTATTGAGTTAAGTTTCTTGGAAACAATTTCTTTCATATGAAATTTGCATAGTCAACATAAAGCCATATTTTACTTGTATTATTTTCATGGATGCCATGTATCAATTACTTTATTTAGTCTTTGGGCTTTTGGACTAGACTAAAATGCTGAGATGATAAAGAAGCTTGTATGACTCCATGAACCAGGGAAATGAATATTTTAGAGACTCTACTCCTGATTAATTTTTTACTCTCTCTTTCAAGGCAAAAGGGTCTTAGATAATGCTTCATATAATGAATATTTACATTGGAATGAGGAAGGCCTGCTGCGGTTGCTATGCATGGCATAACTGCATCATCAACTTCTCATGTGGTCAATTTGACCACAATGGGCAGCTCTGTAAGGACAGAAAAGCCAGCCAACCCAGAGGAGTTTACACTCTATCTGAAAATTCACAGTATTACTTATTCTGTGAAAACTTCAACCTTTATGTTACGTTCTATAAAAGGTGATGACTTAGGTATCAAAGAGCTACCTCTGTGATAGACTAACGAATTCCTCAGATAAAATTTTCAGTCCTCCTTAGATCCTTAAAGTGTCACATTGTTAATATATTTATGATATACTGGAAAATAATCCTTAAATGTGCCACACATTGCCCAATCATAAGAATAAATGGAGTATAAATAACAGGTTCTGACAATTTTGAAGAACTAGACTTTGCTATTTGGTAAAACAATTACAATAAGAAGGCAGCTACTTTCAAAGCATCTTTTCAAATTTGTTTTCTCTGATTTAAAAAGAAACAAAATTAACAGACATCCATGCGTAGATACATACCTACATCCACTCCTTAAAGCTTTGAATTACTAGTTTTATTTTTTGGTTAATTCTAATCCATTTTGTTAAATATAATTTATTGAAAATCATTTATTAGGCCGGGCACCATGGCTCATGACTGTAATTCCAGCACTTAGGGAGGCCGAGATGAAAGGATGGGTTGAGGCCAGGAGTTCAAGACCAGCCTGAGCAACTTAGTGAGACTCCGTTTCTGTTAAAAATTTTTTTAAAATTATTTGGGCATAGTGGCATGCACCTGTAGTCTTAGTTACTCAGGAGGCTTGAGCCCAAGAACTTGAGGCTCCAGTGAACTCTGATTGTGCCAATGCATCCCAGCCCAGGTGAAAGAGTGAGACCCTGTCTCTAAAAAATAAATAAATAAGTAAATAAAATCATGTCTTCTCATGTTAATTTTGGCATGTTTTTACTGAACCTGTGCATCCTTCCAGCTCTCCTGGTGTATGAAGCATCAAGCGAGGCTCATTGCTTGGTCTATTTTATCTCACAGAAAATGCTAAGTGTCTAATTTTTATTTTGGTATTACACTTTAGTATATAGAGTATTCAGGATGTTTTTTGTTAGTATTTTTCCTTTCTTGTGTTTTTATTAGTCAATATTTTGCTTATTGTAATAAATACATGAAGAAATAATTTTCTTTATTGTTGTTATTGAGAAACATCTATATCTATCTAGCTAGCTAGCTAGCTAGTTCCCAGAGAATAGTTTTAAAATCTCAGTGCTCTAGTGAGACTTGACTTTTCAGGCCACCTCTTATCTAAACTCAGCTAACTTTCACACAACTACCAGTACTTGTATTTTCTACACAGCCTAGCAGTGGTTGAATCATTTAAACACTAGTAAATATGGTTAAATTACCCATATAAAAGGCTGTAAGTTTATTTTAATTATTTCCCAAGAATTGTAACAGGAGCGTGTATGGGAAATAATGAGAAGTTGAAGGTGAAATAAGAGTGACAAATGCTCCTTCTACTATTCCTCTTCAAACAAAAAAGGATACTGCAGAGTCCAGCTTTGCTAAAATATCATCAGATAGTAATGGAATGGAGCTGTGGCCTTCTAAAACACTGCATAAATATTGCCTTAGTTTCTCTACGCTATCAACTGTAGTGGTCCTTATAGCATTCATAGATCTTGGGAAGTCTGCACACATTCAACTCGTAATATCTAAATTTTCTATATATCCCTACTCTTTTTTTCATAGTAAGGTCTACTTTTTTAACTTTACCTACTGAATTCTTCTTTTCAACTATTTTTTCAAATTGTTTGTCACAAAGTTTTACTCATAATCTCATATAGAAATCTCTTTAACATTCTGCCCCCCAAAGCACTGACCACAAATTACCCACAGAAATCATGAATTTAAACATTATGTAACTTGTTAAAGTTTCTAAATCCTAGCAATACTTTTATTCACAATATTTGTATTTGGGTCTATATTTGGTCAAAAATCATCCAGACTTTCAAAATCATTCTAGTAGTGTCAAAATTATCTAGAATTCATCACAAGTCTAATGAAATATTTATTTCCACCTCCAGGGCAGACTCATCACCTTAATCACCAATTGAGCTAAGCCTCTATTAGTTTAAATCTCATCAACATACAACATTAAAAAAAAAGACATCTTAAATTTGTTTGAGCTTTACTTGATTGTAGAGAAGCATTATACTGTTAAATATACATTTGAATAATACCTAAGCAGGAAATGAAGTTGTTTATAATCAGAGATGTTCCCTGGACTAATGGGCTCCTTTCCTTTGTGTTCAAATGTCAGCTATAATTCATCTCTAAAATTTTGAACCTGTTGTAAAGTCCTAACACTCTATTTCTAGTGCAGTGTATGGTCTGGGAATTTGTCTCCATCTCTCCTCTCTCTCTCTCTTTTTCTCTCCTCTTTTCCAGTGTTTTCAGACTTAACCTGCATTGAAATCACTTGAAGATCCTACTAAAACAGTGATTGTTGGGGCTTATCCCTAGTGTTTCTGATTCGGTAGACCTGGGGTGAAACCTGAGACTTTGCAGGTTTCCAGGTGGTGTTAAAACCAAACTGAGAACCACTGCTGTCGTCACATATAGCTAGTTAGATAATTTGTACCATTGATTTAAAAAGAATAAATGCAGGAGAGTTCTTGAAGCCTGGACTTAGCAACAGTCTGTAGTAGTAAATGTCAAAGAGCACAAAGTCAACTGTTATGTCTGGCTCCAGAAATTAAATTATTTAAGAAATTTGCTTCGAACACCTTTAAATAATTGACATGGGCAGGTATTGTAGCTTTTATTACCTTCATAAGAAAATAGTTTTGATGAGTTACTGAATTTTTTTTGTAGTGCCTGCAATATTACCTCAAATTAACAGCCTGATAGTTATGTACAATTTTATAATAGTTATGTTGGGCTGGCATGGGCAAGAGTTACAGTTTAATTATAGCATCTTCATTTCATATTTATTAGTCTCTTTTATAGATGGTAGTACTAAAATTATCTTTCCTAGTATAGAGCTCTCTTGTCACCTGTTATATCTAAATATGATTTTCAAATACTGCACTAAATAAATTATAAATTGTAAAACAAAAGGTCAATTTTTCCTAGCAGCAGACTCTGCTTCCATTGTATACCCTAAACACATTTAGTAATGACTTATGCTGGTATTTACCACATGAAGTTCATTCTTAGATAATATTCCTAAGATAATTTACTTTAAAATAGTGCTTTGAATTTTTAAGAGAGAAGATTAATAGACTCAATATTCATATATTAATTTAATTAGGCTTTGCAAAAAACAAAGCAAAAAATAATTTTGAAAGCAAGCAGAATTGTTGTCATATCCACAAATCTTTTCTATTTTACTGTTATACATTTTTAGACATGATGCCAGGTGATATTCTTTAATTGTGGGTTTTTCTGAAATGTTTCTTATTTTTCACATCAAGGGAAATATAATATATAGATGCCATAGCAAATGTTTTTAAGGGTTATAAGTTCGTTGCCAAGATAAGATATTTAAATTTATCTCCCCAAGTTGGGAACAGTTTATTTAAGTGGGCTGAGAATTTTTCTAGCTAATTAAAGACAAGGCTGTACTCCTTCGTATAATTAATTTCATATCAAGTTTTGGGGCATATTGGCAAAGTAAAAAATTTGCATGAAACTTTCAATAATTTATGAATATATATGTGTGTATACATATACATTTCTGTGTATATATACATACACACATAGATAAGTTAGAAAACAAACTGCCTTTGTTTAAGCAAAGTTATTTTTAAATTTTTAAATTAAAAAATTATATAAATTTGAGAGTTGTATTAAGATACTGGGGCAAACATTGTGATTTCATAGACAAATAATTTACTGTGCCTGCAATGGCTACCTTTATATGTGTTATATTTATAGGCCAGCAAAAGTCGAGAAATAGAACAATTACTTAATGTAAAATACTGGCTTGCAAGATCTCTTTTGAGTAGGAACATCTACGAAAAGCCGACAGTGTCCACTTGAGGGAGATAAGGGAACAATTGACAGAGATGAAGACTTTAGAGAATACGAATGTACAGAAAATTGAGATGGAAAGAATGAAACGAACAAAGGCCTCATATGTGAAGGTAATATATAGGCACTGATAATTATTCTGAAACAAAGACAGTGGGTCAGGAGCCAAAGAGAAAGAAATTGAATAGATAAAAGCATTCTCTTACACCATTTATTCTAACATGTAGCAATGAAAGAAAGAAGACCAACAATAAAGGGCCAAGATTTGCGATCATGAGATAGCAGGGCTTGCTGAGGACTGTAATGGTGTAGAGAAGGAAATATGAAGCAGAGACTTGATAAATATCTTTTAAGATAGAGACACCCGGTTGTGGTTAGAGGCATAGGATAAAAAAGGTCTTTCATTCCACTGAACTGCTCTAGAAGAAAAAAAAAAAAAAACTAGAAATTTTGTTAATTAATGTTTAACAAAATCACAGAAGCCACATGAATAGGCAGTCTTCATTTCTAAAATGCGAAGTTACTTAAAAGGAAATGGGTAGCAGGGTTTTACTAAATCCTGTGACCTTGTAAGTGACATTGATTTTATTATTTTAAATTATCTGGCTATAATCTGCAAAGTTTCTTCTAATAATTAAAGGATAAGGGAATAAAAAGTTTGAACCCATTTTCAGCATAAATGTGTAATATATGGTATGATGGTTTAATGACAATGGTGATCTTGCATTAATATCCTTTTAATGGGACATGTCTTTCTGCCATGCCAAAACAAGTTTTGATGAGCTAACGATTTCTAGGAAAGTCTCAAAGCACCATAGCAAGCTTAATGTCCTACATTTATTTTTTCTCCTGCCTTTTCTGATAAACCAGATGTCTACCATGCGCAGTCACCTGATAAGTGTTTTAGATAAATGTCACCGTAAATAAGTGAAGCATGAAAAGGTTAAAATTATAAAGATGTGAGTTCCAGGCAATTAATTTTTATATATCTGAGACTGCTTTAAGAAGGGCAGGGATAATTAAAAGAATCTGCTGCTAATTGTAATGGGAAAGTGAGTGAAAATAGAGAGGGCAATCAGTATCATCTCCTTTAAGGAATGCATGATATCTGGAAATATTTGTTAGGAATGAGCAGCATCTTCTATCATATTTGGATGGCAAATGAGTAGAGTTGAAACAAAGTAAAGTAGTTTTCTTGTTATCTAAGACTGATACCATTCACATTCCCTTCTCTACTGCGGAAACTTTCCACAACAGCGAACATTTTTTTGAAGTTGTGAGTTTCCAAAGTTATTTAATTATTAGTATATAGCATAACTACATATTTGTGCACTATTGGGAGAGTTGAGAGACACTTAAAATAATTAATTTCAAATACATTTAAAAATTGGTGTTCGGTGAATATCAATATACTTAATTTCCTCATGTGAACAAGGAGATATTGTACCAATAGAACATCCTGTTATATGATGGAATTTGAAGTTGAAATTGTATGATTGTGCCCACAAAAAGCTGCCCAGCCTAACATGCCCATCTATTTCAATATTTACTTATTTGTGTTATTTAAGCTAATATTTAATATTGATATTTTTCATTAAAATCAATTTGTGTTTTTTGGTTTATTTTGCCATCCAGTAATATTACTTAGCAGTGAGACAATAACAGGAATATATGTAAAAAGGAGGGCTTAAAGGCAAGTCCAATTTCTGTGAATATAGTACATAAATGTATAATTCTAGATGTTTATTGTATAATATCATGTATACTTTTTTAGAAACAACAAGTAAGTGCAGAAAACTAAGGATGCGGTAGGTTGAAGTGAGTCTCGAACTAAGAAGAATTGAAGTGCAGATTTGTAAAGTACAAAAGAGATCTTGGGGCATGCTGAACAAATAGAATAACCTGATAAAAGGTACGCAGATGGCAATTAATCCATTCTAAAATGTATACATATAGCATGTTGCCATTCTCCACAGGCTCCTCATAAAGATGGAATCACTTTGATATTCATGACCAAAATTTAGTGCTGTAGCTGACAAAATGATCTCAACTCCCTTCCATCCCAGTGCTTCTTCAGAAATACCAAGAATGACAATGTCTCAAATATGCTCCTTAGTTATGTTGGGTCACTGGGTTCTATTTTTTTCTCTGTACTTTCAGGACCATGATCTCTTGGACTGCTAATTTACCATCATCTTAATAGTGAAATATGAGGGAGTAGACATAATTTACCCATTTCTGTATCCTAAACTTGGAGGAAGTTCTTTAAATATTCACTACAATATAGATGTTAAAGTCAAAATTTTAAAAATATGTTATTAAAGCGTTATGGCTAATGAAAAGGAATTCCAAAAAATACAATAAATTTACATAACTAAGGACTATGGCAAGGTTCACTGACTAGGCAATTACTAAAAATTGTCTTAGAGATGACACCAATGGCTACAAATTGAGGGTGAGTATAAATTGAGTCCTTCTTTTTACTAAAATATCCATTTTTAAAGAGTGTAGTTATAGTAGAACCAATTACATCGACCTATTGTGGGGACTCAGTGAGTTAACACATAAAAAAATTTACATCAAGGACTGACACAAAAGAGGTTAATATTAGCTTTTATTACTATTTTATCTTTATAAACTTAGTATACTGTCATCTATATGCTGTCAATGTCCATATTTATGTCTTCAGTTTGAATCTCTCTCCTGAATTCAAAGATGTAGATATTCAACTATCTATTTGATATCTCTAGTTGGGTGCTAATAAGCAACTCAAATTACAAATGTGTGCTATTTTCTTCATTTCAGGTAATTGATATTCCATCTTTCCATTTTTCAAACCATAAACCTTGATGTATTATATTGGCTTCCTCTATACTCCTCTCACCCTACAATCTTCTGTGAAATCTGGTCACCTCTACTTCCAAATTTCCCCACCTAGTTTTTAAAATGACTAGTGTTTTGCCCCCTTCTCTGACTTCATGTTCCCTTATAAAGTCTTGTTAAATAACTTTTATAGTAACCAAGAAATATTGCTACTTTTCTATTTCACAACGTCTCCCTCTTGATGGGATTGCCAGGTAAAACACAGAAAACCAGTTAAATTTGAATTTCGGGTAAACAACACTGTTTTTCTTTAGTACAAATATGTATAATCATTTAGTATAATATCACATGGAAATTTTACTAAACAATAATATCTGTTTTATATCTGGAAATCAAATTTAACTGAATGCCTTGCAATTTTATTTGCTAAATCTGGCCATCCTTCTCTTGGAACTACAATTTTATTAGGAATGTCATGTACCTTCCATATTTTTGCTGGTGAAAGTCTTATCAAATATCCTGTCACTGCGGAAGATGTATTACCATGCTTTCAGCTTTAGTTATAGTTGCTTTGCCACTCACCCAATGATCACTAAGACTATATCATATATTTTAGGATTCATGGCAGGAATTCTAATAGCAGTCAGCGTATGCTAGGTTATCCTGTAACAATGAAACCACCTTAATATTAGTGCCTTAAAACAGTTTAAGGCCTTTTTTCCTGAAGGTTATTTAACTTAAATCTTCCACTTCCAGATCAGTTAGGGTATTTTTCTCTACGTCTGCTCACTGAGGGACTCAGGAAGAGAGTGACAACACCTCCATGCTTTTCAGGGAGAGAAAAAGAGGAAAAAAAACGTGCTGAATTTCCACCAGCTCTTAAGTTTGTGAGTCAGATCATTTTAAAGAGAATAATTACAGAAGCAATTGTAGCTATCACCCTCTCTGCGCAACCCCATTTTCTACTTGTAGATACAAGAAATAATACCTATCTAGAAAGTCATATGTATATTTCCTTTATGTGTTATAGCCATAAAAATATAGCACTATTTATTTTGTTAATTTGTGGAAATGATATACTGAACATGTCTACTGCAACTTGATGTTGTTACTCAAACTTATGTTTTTGTGATTTATCAGTTTACTGACTTCCACTGTATAAATTTATTTATAATCTGTTTTTCAAGTTCTTTGTTTTGATACATTTAGAGCTTTTCTAATCTTTAATTGAATTTTAAAATGTTGCAGTATACATTCTTATATAGATTTTATTATATATATGTACAAGATTATTTTCTAGAATAGTGGAATTTCTGGGTCATATGAATATCATCAACTATCTCACATGCTGTCAGTTTGCTGTCCAAATTGCTATATACTCATGAAATCACATTTTCACCACCACATGGTATTCAGAATTTTTAATTGTTTTCAATAGGATGGGAATAAAATAATGTTATTGGCAATTTAATTTGTATTGCTTTAATAGTTTGACTTGTTCAACATTCTCTTATAATATTTAGTATTCAGTTGGATTTTCTCTTTTGTGAATTACCAATTCATATTTTTTCCCATTTTTCTATAGGGTTGTGTGTCACTTTCTTAGTGATGTATTGCTTTCTTATTTATTCTGGATACTAATTATTTGCTAGTTAAACATAGCAGAATTATCTAGTACCTCTGTGAAGCTTCCTTTTCACCTTGTTTTTGGTGCTATTTTGCATGAGTTTTAAACTTGAACATCTTCAAGAGTATCAGTTTTTCTCTTTATGGGTTTTGCTTTCTTTGTGTCTTTTTAAAGAAGTCTTTTTTTTATTTAAATACCATAAAGATGATGACTTACATTTTTGGTAATTATGTTAAAGTTTTGCTTTTGCATTATGTTTTTAAGTCCACCTGGAATTGATTTTTGTGTACTGGGCAGGATAATGAGTCAACTTTACTTTTTTCCACATAAATAATTAATTGTCTGAAATATTTTATGGTTTTTAAAATTTAACCTCTGATTTGTTAATGCAATTTCTGTTATAAAACAAATTTTCATATATGGATCTGTGTTTTTCTGGACTCATTTTTCATTCATTTGTAGTGGCCTGGATTGTTTCAGTGCTAGATCTAGTATAATAGCATTTCAGTATGAATGTTGTAGTTATAAGAAGCCTTTCTGTCAGCAAGGGAGATGCCTTGCTCTTTTATCCTCTTCAAATTAGTATTGGGTTTTCTCTCCCACATATTTGAGATTGGCTTGCACATTTTTTTAGTATTTTGGTTGTAATGACACCACTATTAAGCATTATCTTTGGGAAATATTACTAGGTTTATGACTTGGACATTTCCTGTTCATGGACTAATTTAAATATTTTTTTCTTTCAAGTTCTTGATCATTTAATAGAGTTAGTGATAGAGTCCAGAGAATTGGCATATCATCAGGGGCACAAGAAATACTCTGGATCTAGATTGTTGTGAATGAATTCTACATCTGCCGCCTTTTAACTTTTACCTTAGGCAAGTCAAGTGCTCTCTGTGCTTCAGTTTCTGCATCTATTAAAGTTAAGAAAAATATGGCCTCTACCTCAAGAATCACTGGGAAAATTAAATGAGTTAAACTTGTAAAATATTTCAATCAGAATCTGGCATATAAGAAGCACTGTTTCCATATTTTTGTTGCTTTTCAGTGTTAAGATTTAACGTATATATATATTTTTTTCCTAATTGGTTGTTGAAAGGTCACTGACAACTTGTACTTGTTTGTTTTGTTTCCACCAAGCTTGCTGATGTCTCTTTTTGACTGTAATAGTTTTTAGCTTTCTCTTATAATCTTTATGCAGACAACTTTATTGTCTGTAAGTAACGTTTTATATTTTCTTTATGATCCACATGTCTTTTATTTTCTTTTATGGCTTGGATCCCTAATGCTGTGCAATTTGAAAAGAAGTCATGTTGCCAATTATTTGTCTTGTTCCTTATTTTAAAGAGAAAGCTTCTAATACTGAAGTATGATATTCACTATAGGTCTTTTATAACTACTTTAAAGTAATTGATCAAGGTTCAATTTATTCTTTATTTGCTAAGAATCTTTACCATGAATGGAATTTAAATGTTATGAAGGCTTCTGCATTATTGAAAAGGTATAGGAATTAGAATCCTTTATCTGTCAATATGATGAAAAAAATAAAAAATTGCATAATACGAACACGTCAGTCATTCTAGGGTTATTAACAGTGTGCTTAGGGTGACTTTAGACACACACACACACACACACACACACACACACACACACACAATTAAACTGAGTTTTGTTTCGAATCAAAGGCATTTATACCCACCAAAAAATTTTCATCGCATAGTGTTGGCTGCTTATTTTATTCCAGGCCCTGTTCTAGGCTCTGAAAATACATCAGGGAGCACAAAACAAACAACAGTCCTTACCTTGAAGGAACTCATATTCTAATAAAGTGTGTAAAATATACACTAAAAATATATAAATTATAACACAGTAGAAGATGAAAAGCGCTTTGTAAAATGTTGACTAGGCAAAGGGGTTTGGGAATACTAGGGAAAATGTAAGACTACAAAGTGGGTGGTTCTGACAGGCTTCATTCATTTTTAACTTTTAAGTTTAGGGGTACAAGTGCAGGTTCATTACATACGTAAACTCGTATCATGGTGGTTTGTTGTACAGATTATTTCATCACCCCGGTATTAAGCCTAGTAACCATTAGTTATTTTTTTTGTCTTCTCCCTCCTCCAACTCTCCACCCTCCAAAAAGCCCCAGTGTGTGCTGTCCCCCACTCTATGTGTCCATGTGTTCTCATAATTTAGCTCCTACTTATGAGTTAGAGCATGCAGTGTTTGGTCTTCTTTTCCTGTGGTAGTTTGCTAAGGATAATGGCCTCCAACTACATCCACATCCCTGCAAAGAACAAGATCTTGTTCTTTTTTATAGCTGCATAGTATGCCATGATGTTTATATACCATATTTTCTTTATCCCGCAGACCACTGGTGGGCATTTAGATTGATTCCATGTCTTTGCTTAGAGAAGGAAATAAAAGGGTGTTCCAGAGGGAATAGCCGGTGCCAAGCTCTGGTTCAGGAGTGTGGCTGTTATCCTCTAAAATTGCAAGCAGTTATAACTGAGAGTTCTTGCTTAAAGTGTGGTTTATGTTCACCCATCCGGGACTGTACTTTTGAAGTTGTTCACCCATCTGGGGCTATACTTTTGAAGTCTATACTTTTGGAAGGATATATGTTTGATGACTTTTTTTTCTTTTAAAACTAGTAAGTTGTTTTTGTTCAGTTTTTTTAAGTGTCTCTATTTTATATATTCAAAATTAAGTTGATAATGTTTTCTTGTGCTCATTATGGCTTACATTGCTACTACATTTATAAGTGCTGACCCCCTTTTCATTCATCATCTTGTGTCTTTTGATCTGTCTCCTTCCTTTTCTCTTTACTTGGTCATCAATCTGGCTGGAAATTTGTCTATTTAATTACAGTTTTTAAAGCATCACCTTTTTTTTTTTACTGTACTACTTCCTTTTTTCTCTTTGATATATTTTTACTTCATTATAATTTACACTTATTTTGTGTGTTTATATTTATATTTCCTATATAATTTCAGCTTTTGCTGTATTCAGTAGTCTTCCTTTTTATGTAATTTTCACTGTCATTAAGTTCTAAATAAAGTATAACTTCTATTTTTATTTTTCTTTGAACAATAAATTACATGCAAGCTTCTGTTTAAGTTCACAAACAACAGCATTATCTGGCTGCCTCTTTTTATTGGGTTCTTTCTCACATTTGGGTCAGAAAACATAGTCAGTGTAAAACAGTTTCCTTAACCTCTAAATATTTTGCTAAATTCACTTATTTAAAATGTTCTGCTAATCAGAATATTATGTAACATAATCAGAACATACCACATTATACTCTGATAATCAATTCACTAGAAAGATATCATCCCTTAGGTGTTACGATTTGTTCATTTTTTAGAAAATATTCTCAGAAATATTTTTCAAGAACACTTTTCGTTAACATTTTACATTTAAAAATGCTAAGTGAAATTATGCCTAAGTGTACTATATTATTAAGTATGATTTTATAAGTGGCATATAAACAGATAATTCCTTTCCTAGAATGTAGAGATACCCTATGCACTGTAAGACAGTCAAGGGAAGGAGTTGGTTTGGTTTAGGATGCGTGATAAAGCATCTCATGAAGTGTCTGTATGCTCAGTTTTAGAAAACGGATCCCATTTTTAAAAACTGGATTCATTGACTGCATTATTAAATTGTTTCAATGTTGTATTCCACTATCTGTAGCATTCTATAGAATGTTTACTTAACATCTTTTGAATAATCATTAAGTAAACAAAAAGTACCCCTCTTCCTCAAAACTTTCTCTTACTCCCATGCTTATCCACTGTCATCAAATTACCATATCTGACAGAAATAATTTTAATTTCACCATCAATTGCCAGAATATTAATTTAGACTACAAATAGCTGCATATAAACATAAATGAAAAAATATTTTTCCACTCTTGTTGAAACAGTGGGAGTCCTGAATGATTTGATAGCTGTACAATTAATCAAATAATAGACTACTGGATTAAATCTGAGTGAACTAAAAATATCTGTGCATAGCTGTAAACAAAATTAAATTAATATCCTCGGTACCTCTTATGCCTTTAATGCCATCAGGATCAGTAGACATGATTTTAAATGATGATTCATATAAATATGAATATACATAAAATTTAAAAATACTAGGTGAATTTATACCCAATTGTACTACATTATTAAGTATGATTTTCTGAGTGTTACTCCTAACCAGTAGCAAATGTTTTATATATATATATAATATATTATATATAAAATATATATATATGATATATATATATCATATATATGTTACTGGGTAGGAGGTACAGTAGTAAGTTTTCTTTCTTAATGAGAATGGTATAATCTGGCTCTAAGGATGACAAACAGATGATGTGGTGGGCACTTACCAAAGTATTTTATTTATACTGATCTGTACCCCTACAATATTCTAAAATGAAGATGTATGAGATATACAATACTTTTATTCTATTTTTCTGAGTTATCCCTTCCAGTTAGGTTTTGGGAACACAAACATGTTGTACAGTTGAGCACTTACATGATGTAAGGGCAAATAGTGAGTATAAGAATTATTACACTTTATTCATCTGTATCTTTTATACTTCCTCTATTGGGTAAATGGATAAATGCAATGAACTGCTAAATAATACTTGTTGAGTCCAACCTGAATGAAAACAAAATCTTGTGCCTATGGAAAAGTATACAATGTTTGTAGCAGGGAGAAGGGAATCTGATAGATGTCTGATCTTTAAATGTAAGAATATTGGCCAGGCACAGTGGCTCACGCCTGTAATCCCAGCATCTATTGGAGGCTGAGGCACAGGCTGATAATCTGAGATCAGGAGTTCGAAACCAGCCTCGCCAATTTGGTGACACCCTGTCTCTAATAAAGTACAAAAATTAGCCGGGCGTGGGGGCTCCTGCTTATAGTCCCAGCTACTCAGGAGGCTGGAGCAGGAGAATCGCTTGAACCCGGGAGGTGGAGGTTGCAGTGAGCCGAGATCGCACCATTGTACTTCAGCCTAGGTGACAGAGCGACACTCTGTCTCAAAACAAACAAACAAACAAAATGTAAGAACATAATTATGTGAAAGAAATATAAACAATTTTAAAATTTAAATTATATACAATGGCAGATCATAGCTGCACTTGTAAGAGAAGATCAAATTAAAATCGGTTATCTGTTTGTTTATTCCCTTATCAGTGCCTGGCTTTCTGGAAAAATTTAGTGATTTTCATGAAATTCTCTGATAAACATTATGAACTCATTTCTTTCTATAATATGTTGGTAATATTGGTCATATATAATAATTTAGAACTTCTTATTCTCCTTCATTTTTCTCAGTGCAGCCATTGCCATCTGACATGTTATATGTTTATTTTTGTTAGTTTCCTATTTTGCCATACAGCTAATTAAAATAAACTTTTCACTAATTCAAGCCCTGTTCTTATCAACGTTATAGCCCAAGTATCTAAAACAGTGTCTAGCAGTAAGTAGTCACCAGGTAACTTTGCTGAGTGAATAAATCTTAGGAGGAGAGGAGAGAGAAAATCTAGATCCTTTATATTATCCCTGATTTTCCACAAACAGCTAGAATGTAATATTTTATTATTTTGCACCATGTAAGTTAGAATCATTGTGGAACATCACATTTATACAACTCTCATTAGACTATATCTAGATCTTTCAAAACAAGCAAGCAAGCAAACAAACAACAATGAGGATACGCTGAAGAAGTTTTGAGAGGAGAACCTACATCTTTATAGTTTGACCCCCAACTTACCCATACCTTCCTTCAATGAATTCCCAGGGCTATTTAGAAAATAGTTTGTGCAATTCAGGAAGTGTTTGTTTTAAAACACCAAGAATGATGACTGTCCAAATTTAGAATGTGTTCATGTATTCCATAGACAATGACTGAATATCTACTAGGTTCTGAAAAATGTGCTAGTTGCTGCAGTGGATAAAATAATAACGCACTGTAAGACAGTCAAGGGAAGAGGTTGGTTTGGTTTAGGATGTATGATAAGACATTTCATGAAGTATCTATATACTCAATTTTAGAAAATGGATCCCATTTTTAAAAACTGGATTCATTGACTACTATCAAATTGTTTGAATGTTATATTTCACTATCTATAGCGTTGGAATATTAGTCCAGTAAAAAATATGAAACAAAAGATAAATGACTACCCAATAAGGCAGTTTATTTTATTACCACCTAGTACAGTGTGTTAAAAGAGATCAAAGATAAATGAATACTTCCAACATAAAATATGTAATAATTTACTTCAGGTAACATATTTTTAAATTATGGGTATAATTATGGGCATAATCATAATTACTACTTAGAAATTTATTATGTGTATCATTTAACATTTTATATAAAACACTTTGAATTTTTAGAATATTTATGGGTCCTTGTTGTTAAGATGAAGTGGTGTTCCAGAAATAGTTGATTGTAGGTTTGTTACACTTAAAACAGAGAAATCCAGCATTTATGGGTAATACCACAGTTAAGAGGAAAGAAAACTAAGAAAATTGCAGTAGAATGCTTCTGTGAAGAAAAAACTAAAATGTCAAAGATAGAATTGTTATGGGTCTTTAATCACAATCATCAAATTTTAACAAATGGAACTTTAAAATTGAATTTGTCTCTTTGCCTGAGTTAACACCTGAGAGTATACCTGCATACCAAGTGAAGAATCATATTTCATAATGCATTTCATTTGGCTTCCAACACTGTTATTCTGTTGAAGACATTTCTGTAAAGCTTGACAGATACAGGAAAATCAATTTAATAAACACTATGATGAAATAACTATTCAATTGTTTTTCATCTTTTTTAACTTTTAACACCTTGCAGATCATTGCTAGAATAAAGTGTTATCCCCTCTTCACAGTGATTCATTAACCTATATTAATTGTTCTTTACAAAGTCGTTTTTATACACCTTACTAACTACCAATGCGAGGAAAAAGTCTATATTGCTTTCATTCAGTAGAAAGCACATGCATTTTAATAATACTGTTTCTGAAAAACACCTATTGGTTTGTTTTCTTTCAGTTTCTCATTTATCAATCACCTTCACTGAAAGCTGAACATATGCAGCCTAACAACAACTTGAATTAATTGAATATGTTTCATATATATTCTCCAGATTAAATTTTCAGTTGCTCACTTTTTCATGATTATATTAAGAAAATGTAGCCATAATTGCTTGTATAAGAAAAATTACTGAGAAAGACATTCAGATTAAATGTAGGAAATGTTTTAAGGATCTTTGAAAGGAAAGAAATGTCAGGTTCTATATTGTATTCAAGGAAGATAGGAGATGAAAATGTCAGATATGCAAGGCAGAGAAGAAAATAGTTTTTAAAAATAAGTCATAGACATTCTTCGTCTGATAGTTATTGAAAAATCCTGTTCATCAAAAAATATCTTAAATCAATGAAGATTTCCTCAACCACCAGACAAAATTGTTCTCTGTGTGTGTATGTCTTATTAGAACTGTAATTATATTTACAGTACTATAATTAGTGGTGTTCTTAACTCTTGTTACTCACTAGAACATTATTATTGATAAGAAGCAGTGACATATCTTAAAGATTTTTCTTGTGTCCCAGCATCTGCTTAGCATAATGGCATCCAGGCACATCCATGTTACTGCAAAGGAAAGGATTTCATTCTTTCTTCTGGATGCATAGTATTCCATGGTATATATGCATCACAGTTTCTTTATACAATCCACCATTGTTGGAAACCAATGTTGATTCCATGCCTTTGCTATTTCATATTTGCAATAGAACATGCAAGTGCTGTGCAGAAGCTCTTTAGTTTAATTTGGTCTCACTTGTCAATTTTTGTTTTTTGTTGCTTTTGTGTTTTAGTACTTAGTCATAAATTCTTTGCCTACGTCAATGTCCAAAAGAGTTTCTTAGGTCTAATTCTAGGCTTCTTATAGTTTAAAGTTTTACATTTAAGTCTTTTATCAATCTTGAGTTAATTTTTTTATATGGTCAGAGACAGGAGCCTAATTTCATTCTTCTGAATATGGTTAGCCAGTTTTCCCAGCACTATTAATTGAATAGGGTATCCTTTCCCTATTGCATTTTTATCAATTATGTTAAAGATCAGTTGGTTGTAGGAATGAGGCCTCATTTCTGGATTCTCTATTCTGTTCCATTGGTCTATGTGTCTATTTTTGTACCCATACCATGCTATTTTGGTTATTGTAGCCTTGTAGTATAGGTTGAAGTCAGGTAATGTGTTGCCCCTGTCTGTGTTCTTTTAGCTTAAGATTGTGTTGGCTATTCAGGCTCTTTTTTAGTTAAATATAAATTTTAGAATCAATTTTCTAATTCTGTGTAAAAAATGATTTTGGCAGTTTCATAGGAACTGCATTGAATTTGTAGATTGCTTCGGGCAGTAAAGACATTTTAATGATGTTGAATCTTCCAATCTATAAGCATGTAATATTTTTCCATTTGTTTGTGTCATCTATGATTTCATTCAGCAGTGTTTTGTAGTTCGACTTAAAGAGATCTTTCACCTCCTTGGTTAGAGGTATTCCTAAGTATTTCATTTTTTTCTCTTGTGGCTCTCATAAATGGGATTGTGTTCTTGATTTGGTTCTCAGTTTGAACATTGCATTGTATAGAAATACTACTGCTTTTTGTATGTTGATTGCCTATCTTAAAACTTTACTGAAATTTTTAATCAACTTTAGGCGTCTTTGGTCAGAATCATTAGGGTTTTCTAGGTATAGAATCCTATCATCAGTGAAGAAATAAAATTTAACTTCCTCTTTTCCTATTTGGATGTCTATTATTTCTTGCTGTTGGTCGATCATTCTGGCTAGGGCTTCAAGTATTAAGTTGAATAAGAGTGGTAAAAGTGGATATTCTTGTTTTGTTCTTGTTCTTATGAGAATTCCTCCAACTTTTGCCTATTTAGTATAATGTAGACTGGGTTTGTCAATAGATGGTTCTTATTATTTTAGTATGTTCTTTAAATGCCTAGTCTACTGAGGGTTTTAATTATGAAGGCATGTTGGATTTTATCAAATACTTTAACGTATCTGTTGAGATAATCTTATTTTTTTCATTTTTAATTCTCTTTATGTGATAAATCACATTAATTGATTTGCATATATTGAACAACCCTTGCATCCCAGGAATAAAGTTCACTTGATATTGTATTATCTTTTTGATGTGCTGCTGGATGTGGTTTGCAAGTACTTTGTTGAGGATTTTTTCATCTATGTTCATCAGATATATTGGCCTAGGGTTTTCTTTTGTGTGTGTGTATTTGCCATATTTTGGTATCAGGATGATATAGGTTTTGTACAGTAAGTTAGAGAAGAATCTCTCATCCTCGATTTTTTGGAATAGTTTCAGTAGGATTGGCATGAGCTCCTCTTTGTATGTCTGGTAGAATTCAGCTATGAATTCATCTAGTCCCGGACTTCTATTACTTATTCAATTCTGTAACTCATTGTTGGTGTGTTCAGTGTTTCAAGTTCTTCCTGGTTCAATCTTGAGAGGTTGTGTGTTTCCAGGAAGGTATCCATTTCTCCTAGGTTATCTAGTTGTGCACATAGAAATGTTCATAGTAGTCTCTGAGAATCTTTTGAATCTCTATGGGACTGGATCTAATGTTGCCTTTGTTATTGCTGATTGTGCTTATTTGGATCTTCTCTTTTTTGTTAATCTTGCTAGCAGTCTATCAATTTTGTTTAAACTTTCAAAGAACCAACTTTTCATTTTGTTGATCCTTTGTATGGATTTTTGAATCTCGATTTTGTTCAGTCCTGTTCTTATTTTTGTTATTTATTTTCTTATGCTATATTTGGATATAGTTTTTTTCTTGTTTTATTAATTTCTTTAGGTGCAATGTTACGTTGTTAATTTGATATATTTCTGTCTTTTTGATGTATTTAGCACTATAATTTTTCCTCTTTAAACTGCTATCGTTGCATCCCAGAGGTTTTTGTTCATTGTGTCTCTGTTTTCATTTGTTTAAAAAGTTCTTTGATTTCTGCCTTAATTTTCTTGTTTACCCAAATGAAAGTCATTCAAGAGTAATTTGTTTAGTTTCTGTGTGTGTGTGTATGTGTGTGTGTGTGTGTTTGTGTCTGCGTTTTAGAGTTCCTCTTGCTATTGATTTTTATTTTTATTCTACTGTGGTCCAAGAGGATGCTTGGTATTATTTAATATTTTTTTTAATTTCTTGACACTTGCTTTATGACTGCATATGTGATCACTCTTAGAGTATGTTCCATGTGAAGATGAGAAAAATATATATTTTGTGGTTTGTTGGGTAGAGTGTTCTGTAGATGTGTATTAGGTTTAATTGGTCAAGTGTCAAATTTAAGTCCAGAATTTATTTGTTTAGATTTCTGCCTCGATAAATCTATCTACCACTGTCAGTTGGGTGTAGAAGTCCCCAGTTATTACTGAGGGGCTGTCTACATCTTTTCTTAGGTCTAGTAGTGATTTCTTTATGAATCTTGGTGCTCCAATTAATGTTGGGTGCATATTTATTTAAGATAGTTAATTATTCTTGTTGAATTGAGCCCTTTGTCATTAAGCAATAACATTTTTTGTCCTTATTTCTGTTTTAGGCTTAAGATCTGTTTTTTCTGATAGAATAGAAACTCCTGCTCTTTTTTGTTTTCCATTTGCATGATTAATCTTTCTCTATCCCTTTACTTTGAACCCATGAGTGTCATTACTTATGAGATGGGTCTCTTGAAGACAGCAGATGGATGATTCTTTTTTTTTTTTTTAATTCCAATTCACCACTCTATGTCTTTTAAGTGAAGGATTTAGGCCATTTATGTCCAAGGTTAACTTTTATATGTGAGATTTTGTTCCTGCCATAGTTTTGTTAGCTAGTTTCTTTGCAGTCTCAATTGTGTAGTTGCTTTATAGAGTCTGTGGTATAGAGTCTGTGGACTATGTACTTAACTCTGCTTTTGTGTGTATTGTTCTTTCACATCCACATTTAGAACTCCCTTAAGCATTTCTGCAGGGCTAGTCTGGTGGTGATAAATTCCCTTACCGATTGCTTGACTCAGAAAGACTCCATTTCTCTTTCGTTTATGAAGCTTAGTTTTGAAGAATATGAATGTTTTTTTCTGGAATGTCTTTTCTTTTAGAGTACTAAAAATAGACCTCTAATCTCTGCTGGATTGTAAGGTTTCTTCTGAGAAGACCAGTTAGTCTGATGGGGTTCCCTTTGTGGGTAGTGTTGCTCTTTTCTCTAGCTGTGTCTGAGATTTGTTTTTTCTTTTGTGTTAACCTTGGATAGTCTAATGACTATGTGTCTTGGGGATGGCTGTCTTTATAGTATATAAAAGGGGTTCTCTGGATTTCTGATGTATGCATGTCAACATCTCTAACAAAATTGAGAATATTTTCTTGAAATTTTTCCTCAGGTATGTTTTCCAAGTTGGTTATTTTTTCTTTTCTCTCAGGAATATCAATAAGTTGTAGAATTGGTTTCTTTACATAATCCCATATTTCTTGAAGGCTTTGTCTTTTTAAAAAATATTTTTTCTTTATTTTTGCAAGACTGGGTTAATTTGAAGAATCAGTCTTCAAGCTATGAATTTTTTCCTTCTACTTGGCCTAGTCTGTTTTTAAGACTCCCAACCGTATTTCGAAATTTATTTAGTGAATTTTTCAGTTCCAGAAGTTCAGTTTGGCTCTTTCTTAATATAGCTATGTTGTCTTTCAAATTCGGACTGTTTTTCTGGCTTCTTTGTATTGGATTTCAATTTTATCTTATGTCTCATTGACTTTCCTTGCCATCCATCTTCTGAGTTCTATGTCTCTCATTTCAGACATTTACATCTGGTTAGGATCCTTTTCTAGGGAGCTAGTGAGAGGCTTTGGAGACCACAAAACACTCTGGCTTTTTGTATTGCCAGAGTTCTTGTGCTTATTCCTTTCCATCTGCGGGAGTTGATACTTTGTTTTTGAATTTGCTTCATTTAGATGGGGTTTGTATTAGTCAGAGTTCTCTATAGGTACTGAAGTAGTAGGATAGATGTACATTTGAAGGGGAGTTTATTAAGGATCACTGACTCACACAATCACAAGTTAAAGTCCCACAATAGGCCATCTGCAAGCTGAGGAGCAGGGAAGGCAGTCCGAGTCCCAAAGCCTCAAAAGTAGGGAAGCTGATGTGCAGCCTTCAGTCTGTGACTGAAGGCCTGAGAGCCCCTGGCAAACCACTGGTGTAAGTACAAAAGTCCAAAATCTGAAGAACTGGAAGCATCCAGCATGGGATAAAGATGAAAGCCAGGAGACTCAGTAAGTCTGCTCTTCTGTCTTCTCCTGCCTGCTTTATCCTAGCTGTGCTGGCAGCTGATTAGATGGTGCCCACCCAGATTGAGAGTGGTTCTGCCTCTCCTAGTCCAGACTCAAATGTTAATCTCCTTTGGCAACACTCTCAAAACACACCCAGGAACAATATTTTGCATCCTTTAATACAATCAAGTTGACACTCAATATTAACCATCACAGGGCTTTTATATTTTTTATTCTCCTTGAAAGTATGACTGTGGTGTATGTGATTCATTGGCTTCATTTCTGGGTAGTTGCAGGGGTGAAGTTTCTATATATGTTCCTTGGTTAGAGATAGGTTCCTGCAGTGGCTTTCATAGATGTTGCTTGTTTTAGCAATGTATTTTTATGTGATGCTATAATTCAAACTTCAATCTGGTAGACAGATTTAAGAGTAAGAGCTGGCAGGTGGGGTCTTGGTGCATGCTTGTCCTCACTGGAGCATCATGAGAAACAACTTCTTTCAGTGCACACTTTCTAGGACCTTATGGGAAGAGCTACTGCTGCATCCGCAACAGTGCACTGGGAAGTGGAGATGGAGGCAAGACATGATTCCTTCTCCAAGTCTGGTTCTGGGCCTTGGTGGTGACCCTTTTAGTGGCTGATGCCATGGCCACATTTTCTTTATCTCATGGTGTGCTTTGGCAGGCTGCACTCCCCTTCCCTCAGGAGTGGTCCACACTGAGGATTACATCTCTAGGGACACAACTCTCCAGAGACCCACCAGTCTACTGTGCTTACCAAAGTCAGAGCAGGTTTTAGGGTATGTCCGCAGTTGCTGTGATACACAACTTAGGTATGAGTTGTACTGTCTCAAAACACAACATGAGACAAAGAAAATACAGTATTTCAAGTGTAGAGACAAAGAAAATGCAGTATTTCAAGGGTAGAGGATCTCCAGGCAGGGCAGTGCCACAATGGGTGCAACACCAGTATGGAGCTTGCAGCCCGTGATTTTCAGCCCAGCTGGCAACCATGGTGTCTGCCTAGCTCACACTCCCCTAACCCAGCAGATCTCCCACAGACACTCGCCCTGGCGGCAAGCCCAACCAACTAGGCTTTCCCCAAGCCATCTGCTCCCACATTGTTGAGCTACTCCAGGCATTCTGTGCCAGGATACTCCCTGGAAAAAAAGCTACGACCATCAGGCCATACCTTTCGTTGTCTGGTCTTGCAAAGGGAGGGGTGTCCAGCTCCCATGCCCCATGAGAACCCATACCACATTCTTCTCTGCATTCTGACTGTGGAGGATCCTCCTCCTTCACTTGAGATTAGGTCACAAATCTCAGCTCAATGTCCCTGCGTGGTGTACTGGAGTCTTGGGGAGTTGGGACTGGGCTCACGGGACTGAGCTCACGGGCCTGGGCTCACTGATTTGTCCTCTGGCCTCTAAGCTTTAAGCACTGGCTATGATTTGGGGACAGGGTGGTGAACTTCTCCCAGGCTGTTAACAAAACACTTAAGCTGGGCAGTGGATGTTGTGCTGTGGACACCCTCTTGCAGGAGTGGTCAGGCATGAGGTCTGGGAAGGCGTTGACAGGCAAGGGGGCATGTGGACCAGATGTACCTTAATCACGCAGCATGGGTGATGGGGCCTATCTTGGGCATGTGAGCAGGCCAGGCACGGTTCACTCCCAGCCTGGCAGATAGCAGGAACTTAGCCACTCAGTATGAAATGGAGACTTGTGGGATGGGCACCTAGGGTTGCATTTTGCTGCAGCTGCACCGCACAACAAAGCCTTCTGGGCTCGGTGTGGGTTCAAACTGTGCCTCTGCATGTGCTCGAGGCAGCTCTCCTACCAGTCCAAAGATCTATGGGGGTCGTAGAAACTCCTGTAGCTAGGATCTCAGAAGTACATTGTGGGTATGTAGTGTCCCAGGGTTCCTTCACTCACCCCTTCCTTGGGTTTGTTCAAGGTATATGGGCCAGTCCTGGTGTCTAGTGACTCTGAGCAGACTGCCCCATTTCTTCCCTCTTCAACCATGGTGTCTGTGTCACCTCTGTATCAACTTTCAGTGTTTTCTCTCAAAAGATCTGTTTAAAATGTGACGGTTTACTGGATATTTGGGTTCCTCTCCATGGAAGAGGCACTTCCCAGCTGCATCTCCTTGGCCATCTGCCATTCTCCAAATCTTTTTTGGTGCCTATTTTTCCTTTTTACTTTCTGTGCTTCCTCCTTATTCTCTTCCTCCAACACTGATATGTACTCTGACATTCAATTCTTTATATTATAAAAAATAGATGTAATATGCATATGTGTGTTAAGAATAGAATACTTGTATACACATTTTAATGTATCTTGCTTTACTTTAAAAACCACTTGTAGGAAATTCCTACAGGTTATCAGGTACAAATCTAATACATTATTTTTAATACTTGCATCCACTACACCCAAAAATTCTAATGAACCTAAACATTTTTTTTTCCAAATGCTTACAGGTCATTTGTATTTCTCATCTGTAATTTGCCTATTAACAACTTTGTCTTTTTCAATTAGCAATATGCTTTTTCTTATCTATTTGAAGTATTATTATTATTAATTTTCATTAGTATTATTATAGGTATTACAAATCATTCTGGTAAATGCTATTTTTCCAAAATCTGTCATTTATCCATTGATCATATTAATGATAGCTTTTTTATAAAAATGTTTAAATTTTCATGTAGTGTTAAATCTGTATATTTTTAATAGCTATTTATTATCCTACAATAAATAAGGTCTCACTGATTTTACATTTTCAAACAGTTATCTACATTTCCTTCTAAAACTTCATTTTTATGTCTTTATCCTAACAGTTTTTTATCCTAACAAATATTTTATGATTATTTTGTCTCTAAGAGACTAAGACCACAATACTTGTCAGTATTTAAATAGAAAATATGTGCAGAAATATAAACTGTTTGAACATTATGAAGGTTGATTATCAAACCAACAGCGGTCATTACTGTAAAGAATGAGACCAAAAGCCATTTAAAAGCATAAAAATCAGGCCGGGCATGGTGGCTCACACCTGTAATCCCCACACTTTGGGAGGCCAACGTGGGCATATCACCTGAGGTCAGGTGTTCAAGACCAGCCTGGCCAAAATGCCCAAACCCCGTCTCTACTAAAAATACAAAAATTAGCCAGAGGTGATGGTGCATGCCTGTAGTAGTAGTAGTCGTAGTACTACTACTAGTGCATGCCTGTAGTAGTAGTAGTAGTTCCAGCTACTTGGGAGGCTGAGGCCGGAGAATCGCTTGAACCGGGGAGGTGGAGGTTGCAGTGAGCCGAGATCGCGCCACTGCACTCTTGCCTGGGTGACAGAGCAAGACTCTGTCTCAAAAAAAGAAAGAAACATAAAAGCATAAAAATCAACACAGAGATGGCTTCCACTGAAACCATTATGAATGTTTTTAAAGACTATATAAATCATTAAAATGAAAAACTGGAAATAGTTACTTTAAATATTGATTAAAAAGAGACAAATGTTGGCAGTGATATGATGGCATATTTAAGCATTAAAAAGTTTCTATAAATTTTTTTAAACTAGCATAGTTAATAAGAATGCAGTGACCCTAATTTGGTAACTCATGTTAAATAAAAATTGGGGGCGACAGAGAGAGATTCCTTCTCAAAAAAAAAATTAAACATTTAGAAAAAGTTAATGGACTTTTTAAATAGTTTCTCCCAGAAAGAACACATGGAAAATCTTCTAATAAAACTCGTGACAAAACTATAATAAATTTTAAGAGATCAAATTCATTGTTTTTAAAATACTCTTTTGTACCTTAAACTATTTTAAAAGCTTATTATGGTTTTATTTTACATACGATAAATACCATTACCGTCATTACATGAGTACTGATTTCTCAAAATGAATCAAAGTTGACAGGTTATATCTTTCCTATGATCTTCCTTGCTTCTAGTGGCATAAATTTAGCGGCTGTGCTCCTGTTACTACCACAGAAAATCTATCTTAATCCCTAAAATTCTTAGGAAAAAATGTATTTTAGTCTAGATTAAGGCCATGTTTACATTTCATAAGGAAATAATCTTCACTAGTATTTTCTTTATCTTTTTCCTGGAAGGGACTAAGTCTTAGTATATTCATAATTAGGTTTATTGCCTCTTAGACTACAGATTTCTAGAACCTTGTAGAATTTACAAGACTGGAACATAGAAAATGAGTTTCTAGGACACAATTGAGTTTATATCCTACAATCTTCTCTAGGTTTCAGGAAACACACAGAGAACTAATCCATAGTAATGCCCTAGTTTTTGCTGCTTTGGCTTATTAAATAGCCCACTACATTAACAGATAGAGCCATAGTAATTATAATTTTATAGTTACTGAATTTTACTCAAGAACTATTCCATAATACTCACCCTATGTTTGCTTTCTACTTCTTTTCTTATCTTCTCTTAGTCTCCGTGTCACTTTGTTCACTCTCTTCTTGTAACATATTTGGGATTGGTGATCCCATCTACATTCATTTATCCTTACATTGATTTTGCTCTCATGGACCATTCTCTCACGTAGACTGTTTTATACTGCCACCACAAGCATGTTGCATGCTGATTCTGAATCCATTCAGGGCCCTGAGGATACAGCTTCAGCTAGACCTAAGGTGACCCCAGACAGGGGCCGGTAGAAGATGTTGGCTAATAATAGAAATCAGTACATTGGCAAGAGGACCAGTGTCTAAAGCAATTTTCTTTTCAAGGCTGTGGCTTATTTAGAGTAGGCCTGTTAAATGCCATGCAATTTATTACTTTCTAAAAGTGAAACTTTGAGCCCTTCTGCAGCATTCTATTATGATCAAGATTACCTTTAAAGTAATTTAGGTCACTATCTCCTCAAATTTAGAAGTTTCATAATTTCTCAAGAAGATTTTCTATAAATATAATTTAAATGAATATATTTTATAAGATTCGAAGTGAATAAGACAGTTTTAAAGGATATATGGAAAAAAACTTATTTGCTCATATTGAAAACTGCATGCATTCATTTTTATCAGGATGAAATAAGAAATAAATGCAAAACGAAAAACAAAAGGACATTTTATGTTTTATATCAGACTTCTGCCTTGTGAGTTATATCACGAAAATTGTTTTTTTCACAATATTATTTGCAAATGAGATTTTTGGAGAAATACGATGATTACAGTTATTGAAAAAAATATTTTCCCTCTGAGTCTTCAGACTTTATTCACGTTGGATATTATTATTGTATTTCTTTTATCAAATGATTTTATTTTTATTAGAAAATAATTAAGGACAGAAACTAATGTTTCAAAAATAAATTTAAAGACATACCTGGGTGGTTCACTTGTTACACAAGGTTTGTTTTATATGGAGAGCTCAGGTCTTAACTTTATTGTACTTCTGGCTCTGCCTTTAAGTCTGTGTCATGATGTGATTCTGCCTGTCCTCTAGCACTCATTTATATTTAGGTTAGTTTAGGATTTTTCTCCAGTCGAAGCAATCACTTGATCCATTTCAGCAGGAGAATTAGCAAGTGTTTAAGTTCATTGTCTCTCTATTCTAATGAATTATTCCTATAATAATATTCACTGTGTTTTTCCTTATATCTGTTATTTCCTCTTGAATTCATTTTATAGCAAAATAATATGTCTTCCCGTTCTTGACTGTTTATATTTTCCTTCTCTGTCAGCAAAACAAATAAATTCTGTTTTCAACAAGAACAAGACATCAATCTAATTCACTCTTTGACCTTCAGCTTCCCTTTGGCTATACAGGATTTGCTGTGTCTAAGCAACCTCATCTCCAGTTTTTCATCACTGGCAGAAATGGCTCTGAAATATTGGGTAAAAATCAAGCACAGAGGATGATCCCAAAAAAGAATGAGAGACTTTGAATGTACCAATTAATTATCTTTTACATGTTAAACATCTGATTTTTTTTTAATCGTTAAGCCCTTTTAATACTGACTGGACATCATGCAGTAGGTCAACTTAATGTGTACTGGGCCGTGCCCCATGCAGAGGACTGTGAATAGAGACTCTGTTCCTTAGCAATTTTTTATTGATTGCCTGCACATATAAAATATAAAAATATTGGCTTATTCCAATGTAAAGACAGTTTGGCAAGTATATTGTTTCAAGACGAATGCTTCTATAGCATGCTTTTATTTTTGGTCAGTGGCCAAATATATCTGTATGACATCACACTGTAGCTCACTGATTTCTAGAATATACTGAAAGTGTATGCATACACCCTCCAATCCTACACATGTAAGGCCACAAAATGTTTCTTGTTTTAGGGATTTGATCTATGATGCCTTCAGCAAGCTAACTTCATCAAATATCATACACGTACTCACAGTAGCAGATTTAAAAAATCTCATCATTTGCTCTAATTTTCTCAATGAAGAGTAGCAATTTAAATTTCTGAAAAATAAACAAAGGAGGGTAGTATTTTTAGCAAGTTTATCTTCTTTAGGGAACCTTGCCTTACCACTGGATTTGTGGATTGAGATGTCATTTGACTTCTTTGACAAAAAAAAAAAAAAAAAGAAGACAATTCTCTTTATTTCACACAGCTCCTATGAGGCACAAATGAAATAAAATATATGTTAAACTGTGAAATTCTGACGAAATGTGAAGTGATATCTGTATTCCTCAGATTCCCTCATAACGCAACCCTCTGTCCTCTCAGTAATTCAGTAGGTGAGTTCCACATACTATACATTGTTTTAATTGTTAGTTGTATCATATATTAGTTAAACTTTCTTTACAATTATATTTTCAACTCCTTGACAAGGAACATTACCTAAAAAAATCAGTCCATCAGTTATAGATACATACACACTATATCTCTATCTCAGTATCTATCTATCTATCTATCTATCTATCTATCTATCTATCTAATCTATCGAGAGAGAGAGAATGAGAAAGTGAATGAAGGCATGAACAAGAAAGACTTTTAGTGCAGGACAATGTTTTATGTACTAGGGATATAGACATTGTTATTTTACTGCTTCAGGGAGCTTACATTTCAGTGTAAGAAGACAGGAAATTAAAATTTCAACAAAAAATTTCAGGCACTGATACATACTATTAAGAAGACAGCATTCTTTGGTAACTAGAGTGGTCAGTGAAGCTTCTCTAAGGAAGGAGAATTTGAGTTGAAATGTGAGATATAAATGGAAGGCTAAAGAAATAACCAATGAAAAACCTGGAAAAGGAAAGTTTTGGCTTATTTTAATAAGAAAAATAAACCAGAGATACTAAGGAATGGGAAACACAATAGTAGGAGGTACAATCAGCCAGGACAGGTAGGTAATGTGAGGAAACAGCAGCCTTACACATATAATGGTGGAAAGTCAAATTGATCCAAAAAACAGAGTATTCAAAGTCAGATTCTGATTCAATCTATATTACTTATTACTTGAAGCTTTTGATAGGTTCTATAACAGTAGAATTGTGAAAATTAAACCTACAGAACCAGATGCAAGTAGAGTATCAATAAATGTTAGTCTACTTCCAATCTACTCACTTTCTCTCAATAAGTGTTTGTTGGTTAATTAATTAGGACAACCTATCTCAAATATTTCTAAGTAAAGCTGACCATCTGATTCATCTTTACCTTTAAAAGTTAACTTATTTATTAGTTGCTTTGTTAGTCATCAGATCATCATTAAATGCTTTTTTTTATCTTTTCTGCCATTGCACTCCAGGGTCTTAGGTGAGCCTAGCTGACCATCTTCTCCAGAGGCAACTTCTTCTCTTCAGTAGGATACGCTTCAAAGATGAGTCTTAGACATCACCTGATTCCCAAGTGGTTTATTGTGGCAGTGCTCTTACAAGACAGTGGGAGCAGGCTGGTGGCATGGCCACCAAATAGCTGGGAGGGTATCCTTCCGGAGACTATTCTCGGAATTTGGGGAGGTCTTCCCCTTTCTTACATCTGTATTCAGTCCTGGTCAATTATCAGATGTTTATTTCATATAAGGAGTTTAAGTTATTCTTGTAAGGGTTAGCTTTGTTTTAACATCTATGAAATTTGCACCTATGCTGAGGCGTCTTTTTCTCTAGGGCAACTGGTGTTCTAGGTCGCATTTTCATAGATGCCTGGTAATTCTTGGGCCAGGGTTGTAAATCCCCAGGACAGATTATATATGATAGCTAAGTTACAGAGTATAGGCTCTGTGAGATATCTGAGTGGGCTTTCAGGCTATCATTAATATTATTCTTATAGACATGATACTACACACTTGAAACTCCATTTTCCCCCATGCATAATTGCCAGCCTATTTATTGCTGTGTATGGCTACCAGTTAGATAAGTTCAGCAAAAAATAGCATATGAATTCAGTTAACTTTTGGGTCTGTGGATGTCTTATCATTGGTACCTTGCTACTAGTTTGAATATTTCAATTTAAACTGACATTTTGCAGCATAAACTTCATGATAAGATTCTGAAAGTGGGCTGCCCAATTATTCAGATTTTGATATTTGAAAACACTTCATCACAAGAGCATAATCTTGGTTTTCAACAGTAAGAATCAAAAGAACAACTAAGAAAGTTCTAAGTGAAGAGAACTGGTCAGCATAATGTAAATGAAAATGCAATGCAAAGAATTATTTCAGCAAGTTCCCAAAGGAAGTGATGTGCATCTGCTTCATCTCTTCCAACACTGGTCACCACCTCTCTTTTTGAAGAGTACTGAGAGAGAAACAAGTAAAAGAAGGAAATCGATGTCAGGATATAGGAAGGCTTATCAGAAAGGGTTAAAAGGTTATAGTTTGTATACATCTTTTTTGTACATAAAAAAAGTCTGACATGTTTGTCCAAAATACAAATTACCTACAGCTCTTGTAAGGTGTTATGAGAATATGTGCTTTCTGGGGTCACCCCCACCAGTGTGATTACTTTAACAGATGCTTCTGATGCGAGTGTGATGGTACCTACACTTTTAAAAATATCCACATAGTGTGAAAGAAGTACATCCTATGTGGAAGACATAAATTGTTGCCAATGCAGAAAGGAGAAAGAAAAAAAATTACGTTGAAATTCTGAAGACAAATTGAGAAGTTTAGCAGATGCTTCCAGAGACCCGGTGGGCAAATATCAAGAATGTCATTTGAAAAAGATTTATGAAGCATCTATCAGTGCCTTACAGGCATCAGCATCCAGAGTTATCAACAGTACCCTGCTGTGGTTAAAGTAGTCACCTCTACTACAAGGACAAAACAGAAGTGTGAAAACAAATTTAGGTCATGATAATTTCAAACATTAAAACCAAGTGTTTCAGTTTGCCCTTCCACAAAAAGACCCTAATCTCCCAAGGTCCTTCAGTATGCTGAGGGATTTAAATGTTGCCAGTGGTTGAGTTCTGGGAAGCTTCTATTCTGTTTGTGATTCAGATGCTAGCTGTGGGAGTTGAGTAAGAGTGAATTGGGAACCATGCTATTGGTGGTTATTATACATGCTCTGCCAAATGTTTTATACTGTTCAGTGAGGCAGACATAATCCCACCAAGACTATCTATCAAAAAAATGAACCTTTATTTTCGCTCCTCTTGTATTCTCAGAAAATTCAGGTTATATGAGCTCTGTAAAGCATTAAAACTTTATGTTGCTAGTATATCCTGGTGTGCATTTCTATTTTTAGCATTGCTGTTTTCTAAATTTTCTTTTTGTCAATGTGAGACTTGCATCATCTCTACAAATTCTAATCATTGCTTCTTAAGTCACATACACTAACCACGGGGTGAGACAGTAGGTCCTCTTGGTAATAAGAGGATGTTATTATTCTTTATTCAATTTTAAATACCAAGAAACAGATAGAGTTTATGGTATTTTGAGTCTGAAATCAACATCTTTTAGGATAAATTTATCCTTTTCAATGCCTAAAAATGGTTTACTTATATTCCTCATTTTGTTAATTTCAGAAATGTTTCTGCAAAGAATATAATTACTGCTAGTGTATTTTTCCTAAAGCTAATGCACAAATGCTGTATATGTTTAAAATTTTTAACATATTAGATTAAATACTATTGGAAAATGACATTAACATCTCTTTTTCTTCCTAGTATTAAATGGCCATGTGTTCTATTAAATTAAAAATACAGTATTTGAGATCTAAAATCTACGTTAAAAGACAGCAAAAGAATGTTTTCAAACCAGCTGTAAAAGGAACAGTTATTTATATGATTTAATTTATAGCAAGCATTACCATATGCATATTTTAATATAAATATAGTAAGGTGACAAAATTATTTTAATATTACTAAAGTTCACATTGCATTTATAAAAAGAAATCACTAATCACTAATATCTCTTTTAAATGCTGCTGTATAACATAATTTATATCAGAGACAAAGTTCAGAATTTGTTCTGTAAATGAAACTAAAAATGTTGGTACTTCATACAGCAAGGGTATATTTTGTAAAGTATTATGTGTCCTCTATGCTGGATGATACAGAACTAGAGGAAGTCAATAAAATATATAACTCACTGTTGTCACAGATTTCTCAATATTCTCGATGTACATGTAGGGTCTACAGTGTGCTAGTGAATGTGATCAGTGACAGATAGTGCTATTAGTAGTAATATTTGAATATTCTGACAATAAAAACCACTGTGTTCATTCCATATAGAATATACCCAAAAAAACTGTAGGAAAATGCAGTAACTTTAATATTCTCGCCTATATTGAAGGTTCAATCAACATATGAAAATTAATATCAAAACAAAGTTATTTTTATTCATTTTTTCTGTTTCTTACTCTTTTAAATTTTCTCCAGTTCTGAATTGTGAATTTAAAATGATATTTCTCTAGTAAACCCAATCCTCAATCGAATTTACTAGGTAATTGTTTTCCCCAAAATGTATCTCTTCTTTTGGATTTTCCTATCTCCCAGCTTTATAACATGTTGTAATTATTTTACTCCCATAATTCAATCAATACCTTGGTTCTTTGATTCAATAAGTGGCAATCGAGTATCTACAATGTGTCAGGCACCAAGTAAGGCACTAACATGAAAGAAATAGACATTCTCTTCAATATAACTATAGTACAGATCAGAAAGAAATTTATACATAAATAGAATAATAAGAAATTATAAAACTAATATTTATTGAATGTTCCCTGGGACAGTCACTGCAAGGCCGTCTAATGTTACTTTAAAAAAAAAAATCCTGAGAAAAGTTCTATAATTAAAATGACATAGGATTAATTGGTCTAATCTGATATATGAATCGTTGTAAATTAATGTTACTATTATACACTTACAACGTTGATATTTAGAAAGATATATTTACATAATGAATAAGTTGTGGAGAAGAGTTTTGAAGACCTTGGTCGTTCTGGCTCTGATGGCAGCATGCTTTCCTCTGGACTGGACTGCTATAAAATATATGATGATGAACTAAGAATGTGAGAGTTCTGATTAATAATCTAATGCAGAGGAAAGCATATTTTAATGGGAATAGTGAGGATAATCAATATTATTCTATCTGGAAAAGTTAGAGGAGAAGGCTTTGCCTCGAAGTATCAATCTTTGAAAACATAGTTTTAACTAACACCTCTTCTGTGATGTCATTTTCCATCTCTTAACCTAAAGTAGGTTTGGATTGAAATACATAGAGTAGGTCTGAATTGAAATGTCAGGCAGCTACTAGTATCTGCATTAGTTTTACTCATGGCCCTATTGATGTACTTGTGGAGACAGCAAAAAGGGATGACAAGTTGCATCAACACTAGAAACAAGGGGTCTAAGTACGATTTTTGCCAAGACTAGTGTAAGAAAGCAGCAGTAGAGGGAAAAGAGATGTAGACAGGGATAAAGGAGAGATTTCTACCTCTCCACCACAGAAATATGGAAACTTTGCAGTCAGCAAGGTAGTGATCATCGCTTAATACACAGTTTCAAACACACTTGAATCCCTTGAAAGATTCCACAACATTAGAGCAGCATTTTACACTGAAGATAAAAAGGCAGGGGGGAGCATATATTTAATAAGATTGACTAAAAGAAACACTATTAAATTATTTTTAAAAGTTTGGATAAGAAATAAAATTTAATTAAGAATGGAATATATAGGATGATATTGAAAGTTAAATAAAGATATTGATACAGAAGAAAAATGAAATAATTAAACTGAAGAGATTTAAGACAGAAAGATAGGATTTAAGATGCAGAAAGCAAAGCTGCGACTCTAAACAATAATAACAAATATTTTTTTAGAACTTGATAGGACAATGGTAGTAGGTGTTTTACAAGCATTTCCACAGTTAATAAACAAACCTCTTGGTAAAGAAGGTAAGATTACTCTTTATTTTATAGACCAGCAAAAGGTGGAGTTCACAGAAACTAATTTGAGAGGCAAGACTTTGTCTGCATCAGCCTGGTTAAAAAAAGCACTCTCTACGATTTTATAGTATGCTCTTACATGTTTGAAAAATCTTCCAGACTACAGACGAACTGACTAGGAGAATAAAGCAACGAAGATCAGAGAGCCAGATAAAAATGTAATTAGTTTGTGTTTATTAATAAACCAGGAGAAGTAAGCAAGTACAATAACAAAGATACTGTAAGGAAAAACAAAAACAAAGACAAAAACACTCAAGGGTTATATAAAGAACCTGTGTTTGCAGATCAAAAGTGTTAATTATGAATCACAGTTAAAGCACAGACAAATACTTGGAAAATCCCTGGTAAACTATATTTATTTCTAGGATAAAAGCAAATTTCTACCAGATGGTTAAAGAAGAAAGCATAAAGAAAGCAAAGATTAGGTAGAACTTGCAGTGCATTGAAAGAAAAAGTTTGTAAATAGAGAACCTAAAATTCAATCAAATTTTTATTTAAGAATGAAACATCATTCTCATATATACAAGGATTCATATTATCTTCAGAATAAAAGTACTCAAAGACGTCTGTCAATTGACTGTTGAAGAAAAAGAATTAAACCAATAAAATTAATCTAAATATGTATTTTTAACTTAATATAGGAATTTAAAATGATAATTAAAGTACATGTGTAATGCAAAAAGTATACATGTTGGTTTTCAACCCTCAAATTTTATTTACAAGGAAAGCAGTTTTGTTGGGTTGTGTGTGTGTGAGAGAGAGATTGGGAAGTGGATGTGGAACACATTAGAGACATTTAACAAATGCAATTACATGGTCTTTTCTTGTTTGGCATTCCATCTTGTTTATCTCCATGAATTTTGTGACTAGTTTTCCGTAAATCCAGATTATTTGATACCCAATTCCATATTTCAAGTCATTGTGTGCTTTTTAAATGTCTAGCTTTCACACATATCCATAATCCTAAATATCATGGCTCTCTTCTACTAGAGAAAACCTGTGTTAAAAAATGTAATAAGCCGGGCGCGGTGGCTCAGGCCTGTAATCCCAGCACTTTGAGAGGCCGAGGCAAGTGGATCATGAGGTCAGGAGATCGAGACCATCCTGGCTAAAGTGATGAAACCCTGTCTCTACTAAAAATACGAAAAAATTAGCCGGGCGTGGTGGCGGGTGCCTGTAGTCCCAGCTACTCCACAGGCTGAAGCAGGAGAATGGCGTGAACCCGGGAGGCAGAGCTTGCAGTGAGCCGAGATTGCGCCACTGCCCTCTAGCCTGGGCAACTGGTTGACAGAGCGAGACTCTGTCTCCAAAAAAAAAAAAAAAAAAAAAAAAGTAATAGCATATTATAGAAGCATGGCATCATTGAGTTTTGCAATGAGATTACATTTTATAGGCCAGGTGCAGTCACTCATGCCTGTAATCCCAGCACTTTGGGAGGCTGAGGTGGGCCTTTTGCTTGAGCTCAGAAGTTCGAGACCAGCCTGGGCAAAATGGTGAAACCAATAATACAAAAAAAAAAAAAGCCGGATGTGGTGGCATGCACCTGTAGTCCCAGCTACTACTCTGGTGCTGAAGTGGGAGGATGGTCCGAGCCCATGAGGTGGAGGTTGTGAGACTGCACCATCATACTCAAGCCTGGGTAACTGAGCCAGACTCTGTCTCAAATAAATAAATAAATAAGATATCCATTTAAGATACAATGGGAAAATATAGTTTTTCAATCTAGTTTTATTTCTGTTATAAATGATAAAGATTAAAATTCCACCTATAATTTGGTGAGTATTAAGTCTTTACTATTCAATTTCTTGATGGATTGAAACATTACATATAAAAAAGCCATAGTACTTGAAAAAAAATAGATAATTTGATATTCACATAATTTTCAGATGGTTTAAAGTATCTAGCCTGAAATCCAAAAGGAAAGGGAAATATTTGAGTAAATAAAAACACCAACCTCCTAAATGTCAAAAACAACACTAAAAGGCAAACAACAAACTGAAAATATGTTTAAGGCTGGTGACAAAGTGTTGATTTCTATGCTATTCACATATGCCATGGAAATAAAATTTTAAAATGCCCAAATTAAAACAAAGCAAAATAGGCAAAGTAAATGAACAGGCAAGACACAAATATATCAAGTAAATTATGCTAGTGACCAAAGAAATTTAAAATTATACTTTATGCTTAACTAGCAACACTCTAGATGTATATCTCCCTCACTATTGACAAGCATCTGCAGTTAGACTTTTTTACACACTACTGAAGAGGAAATATATCATTTTATAAATTATGACATTAGTGGGTTTGGAAAGCTATTGCAAAAATAGGTTTTTGATGCATATTTATTGATGAAGACCAATGTTATGATATGAGATGAAAATGTCAACAAAATTAAATATGGAACATGGTAAAATATTACATGTGTTTATATACGGACAATTAGACAAGCAATATATATACATAGATAACAAATACTGATACAAAATACCTTAAATATTAAAAATGATAATCATTGGGTGGTAGGGTTATAAATATTTTTGCTTCTCTGAACTATACTTTTAAAGATACTCTAGGATCATTTTTTAATCACCAAGACAATAAATATTTTTGCTATTTACCTATAGAAGTTTTTCATTGGCAACTCAGTTTATGAAAATTAAACTCCTCCATTTTTAAGGCGATTTAGAAACTCTCCTCAAAATGTCTCTAGATGATTTTCTACTATATTTTGTTACTCTTTTTTCCCACTCCTATCAGAGACAAGAACATCATTTTTCACTAGCAGTATCACATTTGATACTTGGATCAAAGTACACATGCTTGAATGTCTGTTTGTTGTTATTTTTTATAATTCACCTTTAATACTTGACAGCATGAATTTTTTTATCAGAGCTTTCTCTTACCATGTATTGAGAAATGCCCTAACAAAACATTTTCTAAATTAACTTGTGGTACCTGCACTTTGAATCCCCATCCCTGATACTGTGAGCTTTTTCATATCTCCAGAATTTGTGTCTAATTTATTTTCTACTGCTTGAGCAGTTAGTAGAGTTCTTGGTACCTGCCAACTGCTTAATGCATTTATATAATTCATCTGAATGTTAACAAATTAAGAAATTTCACTTCAACTCTTTACAATAAAAATGTAGGGAATGAATTTATTATTGGATATAAAAGTATGATATGTCTTAGTCTATAGAAAATAATTTCACTGAAGTTACCTTTAAATAAATCAAAATAAGATAACTATTTTAAGTGAATATTCAACTCTCTGGCAGACTATCTTATTTTTAAGTACGATTTTTAAATAATTTAATTCATAAGTTTCTCATTTGAAGCTTGGCTTCAAGTTAAATAGCAGAGATAGATAATCCCTTTTTACTTCCTCAATTATTTGATCAACTATGGAATTCTAAATAAACTTTCAAAATTCATATCACTGTCCTATTTTCAGACAGATGTGTAAGACATGGTATCAATTAAGCTTCTAGTTTCAAATGAAAATTTTTTTCTCCCTAGCTTATAACTTGGAGTCAATTTTAACACCCAGATTACACAATTTAAAAGCATTAAAATTATCAATTTAAAAAACTAACTATAATAATTTCCACATATTAAGAATGTCATTTACTGTATGTGTATATATATATATATATATATATATTCTTTCATGCATCCTCACATCAATCATGCAATGTAGATATATATATATACATATTTCTTTTTTTTTTTGAGAAAGAGTCTTGCTCTGTCACCCAGGCTGGAGTGCAGTGGTGCAAGTAATGTAGATATTATTAATCTCACCTTGAAAATCATAATTCAAGCTCTAAGAGACTAGTTTATCGAAAAGCTTTATTGCTACTTATTGGCAAGCTTGGCATATTTTGTTGTAGGACATAGGAGTTCACCGTTCATTCTATTGGAATGTTTATGACATTGTTTATTGTACTACCCCAAAAGGCCATCTCAATGAAGCGCTGTGAGCCCCTATATGTGTATATGATTCACTCTTATGACCAGATTATTTTGGCCTGTAGTTAAATGCAGCAATTTAGGAAGCTCAAAGATATTGAAATTATAAATAGATTCTCAAAAAACATCATTATTTGTATTTAGATGTCCTACAGAAATTCAGAGAGCAAGGCAAGTGTGTATGAGCCTAAAAATACTCTAAATAATCTACAACAAAGAAACACTTTATTCAAAGTTTTTGAGTCTCCGTGTGCCATATGTACTGTCTGGTCCTACAGATATAAAAGAAAATAGACCTTCACTTTGCTCTCAAGAAAGTTGTAGGGAAGCCAACTCAGTTTACATAAATTCTGATGTGGATGAGTGCAATATTTTATCTATGGAAATAGATAAGGAAAATTATTGTCTATACTTCATACATTCAGGATATGTGTACAGGTAGAGGAAATAGCCAGGTATATATGGAAAGAGAAAGGGATAAATAAAACTATATTAAAATTAGAAACTTTTCTTTGACAAGATAACACTAATAGGGTCTAAATATAAGCCATAAGAATTGTAATATTTATAAAACATTAAGCTGATAAATGACTTAATTATAATATATGAAGAACTCTTGTGAATCATTAAGGAAAACAGACAATTCAACTAAAATAGGCAAGAGATATGGAACAGCACTTTACAAATGTCCAAGATCATCAAACAGTTGTTCAACCCCATTAATCATCATCAAAATTCAAGTTAAAGCAACTATAAGATAATAATACATATTCACTGGCTTTGCTAAAATCTTAAGAGACTGAAATTGGTAAAGATGTGAAAGAGTTAGAATTCTCCTACTCTGTGATAGAATGTAAACCATACAACCACGTTAGAAAACTGACAGTAATCTAGCCTATCAGAATGTATACATACTCTGCAACTTTATTCTTCTATTTAACACAAATGCAATCATATCAGTAAGAAGACATACTCAAGAGTGTTCGTAAGAGCATTATCCTCACAGCATACCCTAGAAGAAGTACAAAGTTCATCGCCAGTTGAAAAAAAACTAACATATAAAATATGATGTATTCATCTAATGGATGATAGTATAACCATTAATATGAGTATACTAGTACTGCACTTAATTATATGCAAGAATCTTACACTCATACATATCATATAAGACATAATAATTGATTAAAAAGCCATATATAAAAGGTTTTATACTATGTAATTCAATTTATAGAAAATTTAAAACAGGTAAAACAAATCTTTCATATTACAAATCAGGCCATCTCTAGGATGGAAGTAGGGGTAGTTATGAGTAGATAATTTAATAAGTGGTTTTCTGAGATACTGACAATATTCTATTTCTTGATCACAGTGTGATTACATGAATGAATTATAACTTTGTAATAATTTGTCAGACTGTGATCTAATGATTTAGGAAGGTATCTCATAACTTATATTTGAATAAGAAATTTATTTTTAAAAGTACATTATATATTGTGCAGTGAATATTCTTGTCAACACATCTCTGAGCGTATGTCCCTCTCAATATTTATGTAAGATGAAGCTCAAAGTGCAATCCTGAAGTTTAAGCTACATATATTGTCAGACCTTGTGAAAATATCAATTTTTTTCCTGGAATTTATAATTATAACATTGTGATAATTCATCAGACTGTGAACTATTGATTTATGAAGGTATCTCATAGGTTGTACTTGAATAAGAAATTTATTCTTTTAAAAAGCAAATTGTATATTGTACAATGAATATCCTTCTCAACACATCTCCGAGCATATCTCTCAATATTTATGTAAGATAAAGCTCAAATTGAAATGCTTTAATCTATACTATACATATTGTCAAACCTAGTGATAGATTTCATTTTTTTTTTCCTTGAACTTAACCTGCTTTTTATTTCCATCACAGATATAAAAGCCCACATCTCCTCATGCCTTCAACAGTTCCAATTTTTGGGATTGTTTTAAATCATTGCTAAGCAAGCATTTGCAATATTTTTAAGTAATCATTTACCTTATTTTCTACTATGTTGACTTCTAATACATGTGTTTTTCTCATACATTCACTTTTGTTCTACAAAAATTTATTTGGCATAAGCAATCGACCAAAGATGTATCTGGTAAAGACTTATCTGGCAATCTTCCAAAGCTTTATTTGGTAAAGTCAATATCTATCATAATTTTTTTCTCTATTTATTGATAACCAATATTTAATCATTCTTTATTAAAAATCCATTTTCTCCCATTGATTTGAACTTTCACATTTATTACACATATACTCGGTAGAAATATAAAATGATAAAACCACTTGGGAAAACTGTACATTACTTTGCTTCATTTATCTAAATTAAAAATGTATGTTCTTTTACCAAACTACTGCATCTGATAATGCAAAATCAGATTTTATTTCTCCAAAATCAAATCAATAAAAAAGGCCTACTTTGTTATATATGTTTCATATTTGTTGTCCTTGTTTTATTGCCTTCCTATTGAGTGTGGAGGCCTTATATGGAGAGATTGAGGGTGAAAAACCTAGGGAGTGCTCACACAGTCCCTGCTAACAAGGAGGTCCTAGATAGAATTGTGATTTGACAATGAATTGAAGTCATCACAAAAACAGTCGTCTCCTGACCTGATGAGAGCACACAATGGGAACCATATCATTATTATCATTGAAATATTCATCCAAATTTAATGAGACTAAAATTATGAACAAATAAATTCTCCCAAGATTGTCTCCTTATCTTCATGGTAAAGCAAACTCTGTCTGCTCAATTTCTTCCTTTCCTCTGACTTCCAGAGTGGGTCATGCTTGTCAAAATCGTTTGGAGGATTTTTGATGTGCACGATGGGAATGAAGGGGAGGTGAATAACCAGAAGATTTTGAGTTAGCCCTGTGGCAGTGTGAGAAGTAGGAACCAGAATAGTTGTTATAGAAATGGATAAGAATGTGAGAAAGGGTTGTAAGAAATATTTCTGTGATCTATGTATCCTCCTTACAACATCTGTGAAATGCATATTCTCAGGTTTGAGTTATGTGGAAAACGATTTTTGATAGTCAAAGCCAACTTGATTGCAGTAATGCTTCAGACTTTGTCACTTGGACAGCGTGGAACAAGTCACCAACCTTTTGTTACCAACAAGATTTTGTTACAGGCTTTTATTATTTATTCATGGAAAATAATTACCGGGTTACCACCAGCCAAGGTTTTTATTGCCTGTCTAGAAATCATTTGATGATCCATAGAAAAGGAGGCATATAATCCCAGGTAAACAAACTTTAAAGACAAAGACATTCAAGGAAGTATTTTGAAAATAAGGGAAGTATCAGTAAAAGTATTCAAATATGCAATTGAGAGGATACTGAAATGCACATTTTGGAAACAAATTCAGTCACATTATACAAGGTAAATTTACACATACTTGGTAGAATAAAGAGTATGATATTGGAGGGGTCATAAAATTTGCTCATGGAAATAATAAAACAAGGGTATTTTCTGTTAGCTAAGTGAGTTTTTGTTTTAATATGTGATACGAAATTCCAGTGATCAGGCATGAATTGTTATGATTTTCATGAATCATAATTATATACCTATCTCAAATGTGCTCTTCACTCTTCTGTTCTAAGGATAATAATTGTCAAAACCATTTGAGGAACTTTGATATATGCAGTGAATCAGTTTCAAAGAGGTTTGTGAATGTTCAACCTGTGTTTCTTCCATAACAATACAAAAAGTTCAAAGTAATTGGCTTGGCCCATACTACTCACCCCAATTCGTTACTATTTTTTAAAATAATCTCACCAGGAAAAACATTTCGATATGTCTGATACTTTTTCAAACAATCTGATATTTCTGACCCTTGAAAAAAGCAAAACTAAGCAAAGTGAAAACAGAAATGGTTGTTTGGCCTCTAAAGGTAACATATAATTGTATTTATGTCTATATGAATGTGTTTGAGAAAATTTTTGATTTGTTCTAATTCTCTATGTTAGTAACACATGGAAACAAGCAAGAATCTGGCTGAAAATAATCAAGAGCTTTGAGGAAAATAGTACATTTGCAATGTAATATGAAATGAGACTAATAATGTTCACTAACTTTTTTTTTTGACGCTGAGTCTTGCTCTGTCGCCCAGACTGGAGTGCAGTGGCACAAACTCTGCTCACTGCAAGCTCCGCCTCCCAGGTTCACGCCATTCTCCTGCCTATGCCTCCCTAGTAGCTGTGACTACAGGCGCCCGCCACCATGCCCCACTAATTTTTGTATTTTTAGTACAGAAGGGGTTTCACCGTGTTAGCCAGGATGATCTCGATCCCTGACCTCGTGATCTGCCCGCCTTGGCCTCCCAAAGTGCTGGGATTACAGGCGTGACACTGACTTTCCTTAAATGTAGTAGAAATTTTCTGTTGTTAAAGGAAGTGTACAAATTAAATATTAATGACTTTAATAGATATTGAAAAAGCACCTACTTAAATGTAAAGAACACACAAAATTAGTGAAAGTAATTAAGTACTAAATAATAAATTCAATAACTTAGGTATTAAATTATATAGTTACTAAGATTTCAAATCACTTAATTATTGGTCTTGGAATACTTACAGCATATTTTTACTATTTTAGCATAACCTTTCTCCAAATACTATGATGTTATTACTTGATTAAAATACAGTGTAAAGATCTAAGCAATGATAAGTGGAATATTATATAATACATCAAAGTTTGGCTTTTATAACAGCAAACTGTGTACTTATATGAGCTCAGATTACCTTTCCAGGGATGTATCAGAACATATTCTTTCTTGAAGATAATTATAATGCCTTCAGTTAATTTGAAATACTTGGGCACATTCAGTATACTACTATGTATACGTTACTCAGATGAAGACATCATTCAAATGCCAAGTTGAGAATATTTAGTATTTTAACAATGCTTCTATTATGTCTATCTCAACCAAGGCTGGAAGCTTTAATAATCAGTCTGCGAAATGTCATTTTTTTAAGTTTACTGACCCATCAACTTGTGTAAATGATAGATATTATTTTTCATTGGTGAAGTGAGAAGTATTTTAAAAGTAAGAACTGGTTTCATATTATTTTAAAGACAACCTACCCATGCATGAAACAGTGAAAATCATAGGCATCATGTATGCATTTAACATTAGGGATGATATAATAGGTTAAATCTTATTGTTCTATGGATCATGACTTCTGTTAACCTGATATAAGCTAAACAGTGAATGTATCCAATCTCTGAAATCTGAGTGTTTCTCTTGAATATACCTTTTGTTCAAGATAACCATATGAACACCTAAATGACCAGAAAGCTGAGATTTTATTAAATCTACAAAAAGGCTTCTTAATCTTTTGGGATTGCTTGCTAATATATTTTTATTAATGATTATGTGTATGTATGTATGTGTGTGTGTGTATATATATATATATATATATATATATATATATATATATATATATATATATATATATAAAAATAGAATTCAGACCAAAAGTTCATTTTCAATCTGGTAGTGAGGTTTCATGAGGCATAATTAACCCTCACTCACATCAAATGTTAATTGGCTACTGTTATCCTCTCAGAATAATACAACAGTTCTGCATGAAAACATTGTCTTAACATTGCTCAAAAGAGAAGGTGTGTCTCCAGAAAAGCTAATGAATAGGAAGCATGTATTCAAAATAGAATAATTTTAAGGTTCTTAAAATTAAAATAATAATTTTAAGGTTCTTAAACCATATAATTACACAGTATTTTCACAGAAGACTTTTTTTGTTATTGTTTAATCGTTTCTATGATTACCTTCTCATTATGAATCTCTTTATATGGACCTAATTCACTTTACTTATGTGTCCCCATGACTAAGACAGGGAATGTAGCTCTGACAGTTCAAACAGCAATGAAATGCAAATCTGCTATCCTGTGTGCTTCTAATATATGCTTATCAACTGGAACAGAATTCAGGAGACATGACCTCTTCTTGAAGACAAATGAGACAGCAAAGAAAGCAGCTTTGCTTCAGAGGCAAAGTATAAAAGAACCATCCAGGGTTTGGGGAGCTCTTTCTGTGTTTCTTGACTTGATAACAAAAATTTGTTGAAATCTGTGAGGCACTAGGCTGAGGGTTGTAAGTACAAATAAGATAATTTCTGCCCACAGACCAATAAAGCTTTTGGCAAAAAGATAAATATAGCAATTGTAATAAAATAGAGGAACATTTTGATACTTTCCATAAAGGATACCCAAGCATATTTGAGCTATGGGTGGACTTCTAATTTCTTCAACACATACCGTACTTCCTCTGTAATATAGGCAGTAAAGTCAAAAACTAGGAGAAATGAGGACGACAGAGAATAAGCAACAGCAATTATTGTCTATGTGAAGAGACTCTGTTCTTCAGAAGAAACAAGTCACTGAATCAATCTCCTTTTTGGAACTGTGGAAGACCTGGCAGTAGCCACAGATGGACTATTTTCTGCTAGTGGATATTACAAAGTTGACCAGAGAGTAGTGATCTCTTTGGATAACTCAACAGAATAAGTTGGCAAAATTATGTTAAATATCTGCTATTTGCTAAATCCTGTAAATGATTACATTATTTCAATTCATGGGCAAGAATAATTCTGTTCTCTTCATAGAGCTGTAACTGTGTTCAATGAAAATAACAGAATTGGCCAGGCGCGGTGGCTCACTCCTGTAATCCCAGCACTTTGGGAGGCCAAGGCGGGTGAATCACGAGGTCAAGAGATCCAGACCATCCTGGCCAACACGGTGAAACCCCGTCTCTCCTAAAAATACAAAATATTAGCCGGGCGTGGTGGCGGGCGCCTGTAGTCCCAGCTACTCGGGAGGCTGAGGCAGGAGAATGGCGTGAACCCGGGAGGCGGAGCTTGCAGTGAGCCGGGATCGCGCCACTGCACTCCAGCCTGGGCAACAGAGCGATACTCTGTCTCAAAAAAAAAAAAAAAAAAAAAAAGCAAAAGAAAATAAATAACAGAATTTAGAAGTTTAAGTAAATGTCTCTAAGAGAGCCAACACACCATCTGTTATTCTCTTATCTTTAGCCCTTTATTAGATTGGTACTCTAGGTTTAAAGTCAGAGAACTGACCTGAAACTAACTTAGGGAAAAAGAGGTTCATTATAAGGATACTATTTTTCAATAAATTCAAGGACAGTAATATGCTGGCACTTGGTAATCAAAGACTATTTCTTTTATCTGTTTCCTTTGTTCATCAGCATTGGATACTTTACTACTATATACTACTTTTTTTTTTCCTTTTTCATTTTATTTTTACTCAGTTTTCTTTGGATTTACCCTGTTGTTAAAAAAAAATACTTGAACTGAATACGTACATATTATTATTATTATTTTACTTCTGTTCTCTCTGTAAAATTCTCACTTATTCTAAGGAACCATTTCAATCTGGGTTGTTCTTGCTTATATGAATACCCTTTCCAGGCCTGGTTTCATCTACTGTGGAGGTTGTGTTGGCAGACAGAAGTTCAAACATAATGCATGTTATTTATGTTGTTTCTTCTAATTAATGTATATAAATTGTCTGCCTCTGACTTCAATGCTACATATCTTTATAAAATATGTTAAATATTTAACAAGGTCATCCTAAAAATCATAATTTTTAGTATTCTTTAATGTCATGTATTAATAATATTTAAACATTTCAAGCTTCATGGAGCACAGTTTACTTGAGAGGTAATCATACACATAATAGTTAAGAAATCATTCTTTTCACCTTTAATCCTAGATTATCTGACAATTTCATTTATGGTAGCAGAAGGAAAAATAAATATTGTAAAATAAGTTGCTAGTCTCTATAGGACAAGATAAAATGTCAATTCTGATAAGTTATTTAAACCACACCATTTCTTTTAAATTTGCAGAAACTTGTGAAAGCCTTTATCAAGAGAGTTTATTTTCTTTTATTCTCAATACTATAATTTATTTATTAATAATGTTAAAACAAATAGTACGGGCTATGGTAATGACATAGTCACACAGTACCAAATGGCTTTATGTAAAATATTTTCTATCCCATCTACCCTCACTTCCATGCTCAGTATCCTGAGATACTCACAGTTTTTCATCTTCTAATTATTAATATAATTCTAAATACTACACTTGTTTCTTTTTAGTTCTTCAGTTCTTACTCTATATATATATATATATATTTAATCACAGGCAAATGTGTAAGATGAGGAATTTAATTTTCATTTCTCCCTTCCTCTTGGTTTTGTTTGATGTGTTACTTTTAGTTTTTACATTGCTTATACAACAATTCAATGTAAATAAATTATGTTGCTCATTTCAACAATTCTATATATTATAGAAAGAATATTTTATACTACATTACTAATTAAAGCTAAAACTGCTTATGTGTAGGTAACTTAGCAAATCTATAGAAATAAATAGATGAAGGTGATCAGCCAACATATCCTCAAATATTGTGATTTGCTTACATTTTACATTCCAAACGAAAAGCTAAGATTCAATTTTATTTTAATTTCTAGATAAGAAATTACTTATTTTATAATAGCAAAAATTGTTTAGGAAAATATTTTTCTGACTATGAGATGCAGAATGGAACTGCAGAAAATCCTCAGATTTGAAATGCCTTTACAGGATCCAAATAGAGCCTCGGTTTTGGAAAAATTACTGCAGATTTAATTATATGAACCAGGAGTGATACAGCTTAAGTATAAGCTGACTTTGGCTGATGGCAATCAGATTCCTCAGTGAAATTACTAGAAAGAGCTTGTCAACTCTTAAGTCCTGTGCTCAAACATACATATTTCAAAGAACTTCAGATTTTTTTTTCAGTTTAGGGAGAAATACAGGTATTGCATACCAAGCAAATTGATTATTGGGAAAGTGTGTGTGTGTGTGTGTGTGTGTGTGTGTGTGTGTGAGAGAGAGAGAGAGAGAGGCAGCATGGGAGGAAAAGTTCAGTGAGAGTTGCGTTTTAAGAACAATAATCTTCTGGATTTAATGGAGTAATTTTGATATTTATTTGGTATTTTCGTGGTTCTGATTCCACGTTTAAAGGAGAGAATAGAGTATTAGTAAGTTGCTACTACCAACAACTCTTTATTTTCAGGAAAATACTGATAACATTTAGACTACTTAGGACCTATTAGTGATAATGAACTCGAGAGAAACCCCATACAATGTCTATGGTGTTTAAATTATTGGTCAATAATTATCCTTATTATAACTTCAATATAAAATCAAGTATTATACATAATGTTTTAATATCATTGCTCTTTTTTTAGCATGCCATCACTATACATTTTTGCTGAGAACTGAAACTACTGGTTTTGTATAAAAGTACATTACATATTTCAATGTTCTGTCATTTGAGAAGAAATAATATGAGAACATTGCAGTAATTTTTTAGAATGTAAGGTTGTAGATATTGAGACATACTAAATGTTTGGGAAACAGTAGTTTAAGTTTCACAGCCCTCAGCCCAAATATGTAATGGAATTTCCCTTTAGAATTACCCTTTAGAAGTATTTCATTTAGAATTACCACTTACATATTTGGGATGAGGGCTACATAACTTAGAGTAGTGTTTCCCAAACTGTGTTCTAAAGGCATCATTTCAAAAACAGGTTAATGGGTGTTTCTTGAAAGTGAGCAAATAGTACCCTTTTCTTAGAAAGTCAGTATGCAGATTAGCATAATTAAGTCTGAAAAGATTTGCAGTACAGTTAATTGGCTTTCAAAACTGTATTTAATATCATATTTCCCAAGCATATCTGTGTAGATAAGCTTTTTATTATTTTTCAACATACCTATTGTTGTATTTTTAGCATATCTATTATGATCACAGTAGTCAGTAACCTCATATAACTTACCACCTGTTTTTGTAATGTTTTATTGCAACAGAGCCATGCCCACTTGGGCTTTGGTGCTGTAATGACAGAGTTGAGGGTAGCTGCAACATAGACCATATGGTTGGCAAAGCCTAAAGATAGTTATTATCTGGTTCTTTACAGAAAAATGTTTGCCAGTCCTGATAGCACAACAAAATAGTACTGGACATTAAATTGGGAAACACCAAATTAAAGAAGTATATTATAATTTTAAACATTATTTCTTATAGACCATTGTAAAATACATGTAAATACCTGCAATATTTAAAATCAATTTTAATTATATGAAATTTGCAATAATGTGACTTTTATTTTTATGAAATTATTTACTTTATTTATATTTTAATATAATTGATGTGTATGAAACTAAAAAATGATTTAGCAAGGAAAGAATACAAGTATTCTTACAAATCTTGTCTAAAGCAAAGAGAAAACATTACTTCATAAACTATTTGATAGGCTGCTATTTCTTTTGTGAAATCCTCTAGAGAAGATTAAAAGTGCATTATCATTCTTCCTTGATTTCCTTTTAGGAGTAGTTACTGATATAAATGTCTATGTGCATAATCACTATGTCTTACCATTTTGACTTTGAGAATACTTTGCTCCCCCTTAACATTCAAAATTAACTAGTAAAAGGTATTAGATCATAAATGTTGAAACTTGAGTTTACTGTCTCAGACGTTATATAGATTTCCAAACTAAAGCATCTGTCTCAATCCTTCATGAAGTATTAGTAATGCGGCTGAATGAAACTCTCTTAATTTTTTTTTCAGGAAGAACTGAACCCCATTATTGTTACGCCACCAATCCAAGCCATTGATCAGGACCGGAATATTCAACCGCCATCAGATAGGCCAGGAATCCTCTATTCCATCCTTGTTGGTTTGTATCTGATAACATTTTACACTATCAGTTATTCTAGAATCTTACAGTAACAAATTCTCTCAATTCCAAGGAAATATTTTAAATAACAAAGTTTATTATTTGACATGATTGTTACTTTTGTGTATAAACACATTTTAAAAATAATAATTCAAGATATTTGCTTCCTCAATTTGTTGGACTGAAATGTGTAGAATGATAAATGAATAACTTTTATGGAAGAAGCAAAGCAATTCAAAATATTAGGAAATTAACCTACATATTAGTATTTTTCTACATATCAACTTATCATATAAAACTTCCTCTAGCACCAACTTTCAGCTTTAATATAAAATGAAAAACATTTTACACGTGTTTTACCTTTGGTTGGTTACTATACATAATTGTGATAATATATGACTGAATTTAAAAAGAGCTATTTTGGAGCCATTTAAAAAAAAAAGGTGAGAGAGCACGATTAGCCCAAGGGAACACGAAATATTAACCTTTGGTAAATATTTTTCTTGAAAAATTCCACAGAAACCATCCTAATCCATCCCTATGCATATACTACTAATTGTGTCAAAAGCAAAAATGATGAGAAATTGATTATGCTGCTCTTCTTAGATTGCTTTTGCTGAAATATGGATGTTGCTGATTTGCATAGCCTCTAGACAGACAGATGCATGTGAGACAGGCTATATATCTTTTAAGGGAGAAAGGGCTTCTTTTGAAGTGTGCTTGAAAAATAACTTTAATGGAGTTCAGCATTAGCCCTCAACCCCTTTCTGTCCTCTTACTTGAAGCCTATGTGCATATACAAATACACAACAACCAACAGATATTAGATTTGCAAATATCATACTGTATCCTTCTTAGAAATGCTGTCTGTAAAGAAAATTCAAGCAATTCTGTTTCAAGCCTTTGGTCTTTATAAAGACACAAATATCATAAGCAGAGCTCAGACTTTTATATTTGTAAAAAACTTTCATAAACAGAAACTATTTTAAGTCTATAGAGATCTTGGTGTAGATAATAAAGCATCATTTATTTCATTAACTGAAGGCTTGACTGTATGTCAATCACTCTTATTAGATGCTAAAAACACAAATATGAGAGATGAATGTTCTAGGTTAGGGAGTCGTGGAGTCTGTGGCTAAAAAACATTAAAACAACGTAAAAGATAAATTAAAATACAATATTTAAGGCACTCTAAATAAAGTTTGAACCACATGTAGGCTCATGAGAGGAGAGCATTAAGCATTTTATGAGAATTGCTTAGGAAGTGTCATTTTAGCAGAAAGACAGGAGTTTCCAGGTGGAAAAAGAGAGACAATTATCTATATAGATAATGCAGCATGTGCAAAAGCCAAAGGATGAAATTTAATAACAGACTTGGATAATTATGATACTCAGAGCCAGTTGGATGCATTGGTGTTCAAGTTTATTTCACTTTTAAAAGTTATGTGCATTCTTTTTCTCAACAAACGATCACCTACCCTGTGAAGCAACCCCTATCACTGACTTTGTGGAGCCAGTTTTCTGGCAGAAGAGATAGGCAATAAACATTTACTATAATAAGTAAGTGTTTATTATCAAAGTTAGAAAGTTGTGAATGCTATGGGAAAAATCGATCATATGAATGGGATTGGAAAAGCAGAGGAGGATTGTAGTAGAAGTTGCAGTGTTAAGCAGTATCATCAGCACTTGTGTCATCAAAAGGTAAGCTGTTAGCAAAGGCTTACAGAAGCTGAGGAAGTTATTCTCGTTGATATCTCCGGGAAGAGTTCTAGGCAGAGATCAAAACTGAAGCTTGCCAGGTGGGTTTCAGAAACAACAAGGGGGCCGGAAGTACTGGAAAGAAGTGAGTGAGGTAAAAGTAGAAAGGTGACAGATAAGAACAGAGCAGAAACTAGAGAGCCTTGTATGTTATTTATCTACTTTGTATTTTTCTCTGAGTGAAATGAGGAGCCAATTAAAAAATTTTAACAGAAAAGTGACACAGTGATGGAAAGTTTCATCAGCCTACAACCGTAGGATAGTGGATTGTCCCAAACAATAGATATAAACTCTTACAATTATTTGCTGTCACAGCTAAGGTAAATGAATAATATCCTTTTACACTATTTACATTTTTAGAAGGAAGAGAATTGTAGGGGTTGAGAGTGTAGCCTCTGGAAATTGTACTGTCCATGTTAAAAATCCTGACTTTAACTCACACTAGACATAATTTTATTTAAGTTATTTAGCCCCCCTTTACCTGAAATTAGTCCTTCTTATTTTCTTCTTTTGAGACAGTGTCTTGCTCTGTCACCCGCACTGGAGTGCAGCGGCACAATCATAGCTCATTGAAGCTTCGACTTCCTGGGTTCAAGCGATCCTCCCACCTTAGCCTCCCTAAGTTCTGGGATTACAGGCGTGAGCCACTACCTGACCAGATTATTCTTCTTTAATATAGGATTAACAAAAATAGATCTTTGTACAAAAGGGTTGTGAGAATTTGATCCAATACATTGTAAATGTACATAATGCTGCCTGGAAAAAAAGTTAATGCTCAATACATTTTAGTTGACATTGTTATTAGCATTAGGAAGGAAAATAAGGCATGTTACCTAAGTCACATCAGTCTGGTACAAATGGAAACACAAAAACAAAAACCAGACACAGCACACACACACACACACACACACACACACACACACACACACACAGAAGGGGATATCCATGACTCTGACTTCACGTACTTTGTCAAAACTCTTAATTTTCCCTAAATCCATACAAATACTTCTGAATATATGTGTTTCTCCAAGCTAACAGTAAATTACCACATGGACGACTC